>NC_000023.11:78523148-78826178 GCF_000001405.40 Homo sapiens
TGTACAGGAAGCATGGTCCGGGAGTCCTCAGGAAACTTACAATCGTGTCAGAAGGTGAAGGGCAATCAAGCACTTCTTACGTGGCTGAAGCAGGAGGAAAAGAGTGATGAGGGAAGTGCTACACACTTTTAAACATGAGAGCTCACTATAATGCGGGCAGCAAGGGGGAAGTTCACCTCCATGATTTAATCACCTCCCACCAGGCACCTCCTTTAACATTAAGCAAAAGCAAATTTCTCAGGAGAAGAAGAAATTCTGCCTCAGGACTGTAACATAGAAATCCTGTTTGTGCCGGGCGTGGTGGCTCACGCCTGTAATCCCAGCACTTTGGGATGGCTGAGGCGGGTGGATCACGAGGTCGGGAGATCAAGACCAGCCTGGCCAACATGGTGAAACCCCGTCTCTACTAAAAATACAAAAAAGTTAGCCAGGCGTGTTGGCGGGCGCCTGTAGTCCCAGCTACTCGGGAGGCTGAGGCAGGAGAATGCCATGAACCCAGGAGGCAGAGCTGGCAGTGAGCCGAGATCGCACCACTGCACTCCAGCCTGGGCAACAGAGCGAGACCCCGTCTCAAAAAAAAAAAAAAAAAAAGAAATCCTGCTTGAATTTTCAGACTGTTGGCAAGTCCTACAGATTTCAGACTCAAGACTATAACATTAATTCTTGACTGAGATTCTAGCCTTCTGACCTGCCTGCAGATTTTGGAATTTCAAGTCTGCACAATTATATAAGCCAATTACTTAAAATAAAAGCTGGAAGCATTCCGTTTGAAAATCAGCGCAAGACAAGCATGCCGTCTCTCACCATGCCTATTCAACATAGTACTAGAAGTACTAGCCAGAAAAATCAGGCAAGAGACAGAAGTGAAGCACATCCAAATAGAAAGAGAGGAAGTCAAATTATCTCTGTTTACAGATAATATGATTCCATACCTAAAAAAACCCATAGCCTCTGACCAAAAGCTCCTTGGCCTGATAAATCACTTTAGCAAGGTTTCAGGATACCAAGTTAATGTACAAAAATCAGTAGCATTTTTGTACACCAGCAACATCCACACTATGAACCAAATCAGAAATGCAATCCCATTCACAATAGCTACAAAAATAATAAAACACCTAGGGATATAACTAGCCAAGGGGATAAATGATTTCTACAATAAAAATTACAAAACACTGTTCAAATAAATCAGAGAAAACACAAACAAGTGAAAAAACCTTCCATGCTCATGGATAGGAAACATCAATATCATTAAAATGGTCAAACTGCCTAAAGTGATTTCCAGATTCAATGCTATTCCTATCAAACTACCAATAACATTCTTCTCAGAACTAGAAAAACTTTTAAAATTCATATGAAACAAAAAAAGAGTCTGAATAGCCAAAGAAATCCTAAGCAAAAAGAACAAAGCTGGAAGTATCACGTTACCTGACTTCAAACTATACTAAAGGGCTAGAGTAAACAAAACAGCATGGTACTGGTAGGAAAAAATCCCAGGAACATAGACCATTGGAACAGAATACAGAGGTCAGAAATAGGGCCTCACACATATGACTACCTGATCTTTGGCAAAGCTGATAAAAACAAGCAATGGGGAAAAGATTTCCTACTCAATAAATGGTGTTAGGATAACTGGCTAGCCATATGCAGAAGACTAAAGCTGGACCTCTTCCTTATGCCATACACAAAAATCAATTCAAGATTGATTAAAGACTTAAATGTAAAACTCAAATATATAAAAATCCTGGAAGTCAACCTATGCAATACCATCCTGGATGTGGGAACAGGCAAAGGTTTCATTATGAAGACACCGAAAGCAATCACAACAAAAGCAAAAATTGACAAGTGGGATCTAACTAAACTTAGTAGCTTCTTGCAAAGCAAAAGAAACTATCAATAGAGTAAACAGACAATGTACAGTATGGGAGAAAATATTTGCAAACTATGCATCTGACAAAGGCCTAATATCCAGCATCTATAAAGAACTCAAACAAATTTACAAGAGAAAACATGTATTTGATCACTTCACGGTAAACATTATGGGGCAAGTTTGGATTTCAAGAGTCCATACAGGGAGTTCTTGCAAGATCCATGTATAAGCTGATGAAGTCCTGAACAAAGTCAGCGGAAGTAAAGATAGACAGAACAGAAGAAGAGATAAGGAGAAAGATTTTAAAAGTCCATAGAAGTCAAAAGTCAAAAGAAGACATACATGTGACCAACAAGCATATGAATAAAAGCTCATTATCACTGATTCTTAGAGAAATGCAAATCAAAACCACAATGAGATATGATCTAACACCAGTTAGAATGGTTATTATTAAAAAGTCACAAAATGACATATGCTGGCAAGGTTGTGGAGCAAAGAGAACACTTATACACTATTGGTGGGAGTATAAATTGGTTCAACCATTGTGGAAAGCAGTGTGGCAATTCCTCAAAGAACTAAAAGCAAAACTGCCATTCAACCCAGCAAACCCATTACTGGGTATATACTCAGAGGAATATAAATCATTTTACCATAAAGACACATACATGCAAATGTTCACTGCAGCACTATTCACAATAGCAAAGGAATGGAATCAACCTAAATGCCCATCAATGACAGATTGGGTAAAGAAAATGTGCTACATATACACCATGAAATACTATGCAGCCATAAAAATACAAGATCATGCCTTTCCTGGGAACATGGATGCAGCTGGAGGCTATCATCCTCAGCAAACTAAAGTAGGAACAGAAAACCAAATACCACATGTTCTCACTTATAAGTGGGAGCTAAATGATGAGAACTTATGAAGACAAAGCAGAAAACAACAGACACTGGAGTCTACTTGAGGGTGGAGGGTGGAAGGAGGGAGAATAGCAGAATAGATAACTATTGGGTACTGCGCTTAATTCCTGGTGATGAAATAATCTGTACAACACGCCCCTATGACATGAGTTTACCTATGTAACAAACCTTCACATGTACCTCGGAACCTAAAATAAAAGTTAAAGAGAGAGAAATATTAAAAAGTATATTCTCTTGGTTCTATTTGTTTGAAGAACCCTGACTGATATTGATTTTGTAATTGGGGATTATTATAGAGAAATAGAATGAATCTTCAGGATAAGTTTTTTGAATTGACTATGGGATTTCTGTAATTGGTTCTCTATTCTGATTTGATTTAAGGGCATAATGACTTTATTTCCAATAGAAAGAGGGCACAGATAGTCCATGGTATGATGTGACAAAAGAGATAAGCAAAAAATCACTATTGGATATTCCCAATGAAATATTTAAAAGAGGCAAGATTTAGTATGAACACACATTTTGACACCTTAGAACATACTTGTAAAACTAATGAGTATAATGAAAGTGGCCAGTTCTTAATTGCGTTGGACATTGTGGAGAAAGAAAAGGATTAGCTAGCTTAGGGATTTAAATTCCCAGCCCAAGCACTGCAGAAATAACCTGAAAAATTCTATGCCTGCTCTGAAAGAAATGCTTATCTGCAGCTGCAGGGCTGAGATAGCAGAAAACCAAACCCTGAGTCTCATTCTGTGAGTGATTACATTACAACACAAATAGAATTCCTAACCTCGCAGGATGTCTGCTGTTAAAATAAGGACATTGGGAAGAAATGGGATCCTCAAAATTGACATGGGGACATATGCGCAGATCCTGATGAAGCTGATAACATTGAGCCTCTAAATTCAGTCAAGTCTTCTTTGCCAGTAGAAGCAACTTTCCATGCTCACCTGAGGAGGTTAAATCTACTATTTCTGAGGAAACTGCAATAGCTTCCCCTATAGTAGCTGCCTTGCAACACTGCTATTTATCCTCTGGATCTATCCCCATTACCCCTTTTTGCTTCTAGGTCTACAACTAGACTCAAGTCCCAGCAGGTCCCAAAGGATGAGGTAAAAAGTGTGACACATAAAGAGTTGTGCTATGCTCAGAAAGAACTGCATTATTTTCCAAATGATAGAGACAGAAATCTGAGAAAATATGTAGTAATTGATATTAAGAGTGTCAGATAAACATGAAAAGAACACAAGTTGTATCAGGGCTGAATCAGGCTTAGAGAGGTTGGAATATTAGAGTGGATTTTTTTAGGTAAGTACTGCTCAGCCACATAGGAAGGGTCAGAAGACACCTCTGTCACCATGACTGTGAGAAATAAATTCATGAGAGAAGCCACAGAATCCTTGAAGGGCTCTGTGGTCACTCTTTGTAGGTCAGGAATTACAGTGGGAACTGCTGCCACTGAACTGAGATCCTTAGATACAATCAGGTACTGGAGCCTGAGGTGGCAAGGGCCAAATGGTGGCACTTCATTATCAAAGACAAGGTGGCCATGGTTACCATAATGTACAGCTGAGTCAAAGAAGTACTCAGAATAGTCTGACTCACAGTCAGTCATTGGCTAGTTGATCATGAAATACCCCGATGAGCAACAGATGGGAGGTCTGATAAATTCTTACTTGATGTGTATAAGCAGAAGAATTCTAAGTCAAGTACACAGAAGTCTAATAAAAATTATCAAAAGATAGAATTGTGGCCCTTTGATCAAAACTGGATGTATCCAGTTTTCAGACCCAGAATCACTTACATAAAGGGGAGAACATGTGCCCTTAAAGAAGTGGAAACTCCCAGAATATTATTCTATTTATCTTCCTCCCAGCCTTCCCCAAAGGGACTTATGGCCTTTTATTAAGGTGATTGTGCATGGAGGAAAAGGAAATAACCAGACTTTTTGGGGATTATGAGACACTGGGTCTGAACTGACACTAATTTGAGGAGATCCAAAATGCCACTGTGATCCACTAGTCACAGTAGGGGCTTATGGAGGTCAGGTGATGAACGGAGTTTTAGCTCATGTATATCTTAGTGGGTCCAGTGTGTCACCAAACCCATCCTGTCATTATTTTTCAGTACCAGAATGCATAATTGTAAAAGACATACTCAGTGACTGGCACAATTTCCACACTGGTTTCATAACTTGCAGAGTAAGGGCTGCTATGATAGGAAAGGTTAAGTGGAAGCCACAAGATCTGCTTCTACTTAGGAAGATAGTAAATAAAAAGTAGTATTGCATTCCTGGAGGGATTGCAGAGATTATTGCTACCATTAAGGACTGAAGGATGCAAGGGTGGTGATTCCTAACATAGTCCAATTCAATTCACCTATTTGGCTATTTCAGAAAACAGATCTTTGAAGATAGCAGTGAATTATTGTAAACTGAACCAGGTGATGACTCTAATTGCAGCTGCAATTCCAGATGTGGTTTCATTCTGTGAGCAAATTAAGTCGTCCCTTGGTACTGATACGCAGCTACTCATCTGCAATTTTTTCTCCATATCTGTCAGTAAAAAACACCAGAAGTATTTTGTTTTCAGCTGGTGAGGCTGGAAATACACCTTCCTTGTCTTACCTTTGGGGTATATTGACTCTCCAGCTCTATGCCATAATTTAGTCAACAGGATGTTGATTGCCTTTCCCTTCCATGAGACATCACACTGGTCCATCACATAGAAGACATTGTGCTCCTTGGATCCAGAGAGCCAGAAGTGCAGCTACTGTAGACTAATTGTTAAGACATTTGCATGTTCAGAGGTTGGGAAATAAATCCAGTTAAAATTCAGGGATCTTTCACCTCAGTGAAATTTCCAGGGGTCTCGTGATGTGGTACATGTCAAGATATCCTTTCTAGAGTGAAGAAAATATTGCACCTGGCCCCTCCTACAAACAAAAATAGGTACAATGCCTACTGGGCCTCTTTGGATTTTAGAGACAATATATTCATCATTCAGGTGTGATACTTGAAATATTTATTGAGGGACCTGAAAACCTAGTTATGAGTGAGACCCAGAGCAAGAGAAAGCTCTGCAACCGGTCCGAGCTGTTCTGCCTTTTGGGTCATATGGTTCAGCAGATCCAATGATGCTATCCAGTGGCAGATAGCCATGCTGTTTGGAGCCTTGGGCAGGCCTGTAGAGGTGAATTGCAGCACAGACCCTTCAGATTTTGAAACAAAATTCGGCCATCTTTGTCAGATAACTGTTCTTTTCTGAGAAACAACTTTTGGTTTATTATTGGACCTCAGAAGAAATTGAATGCTTAACTGTCAGCTACCAAGTTACATGAAACTTTAGCTGCCCACCATAAACTGAGTATTGCCTGACCCATCAAGCCAGAAAATTGGGCATTCATAGTCACACTCCATTATCAAATGTATGTGATATGTATGATATTAGGTTTCAGCAAGACCTTAAGGCATAGATAAGTTACATGAAAAAGTGGCCTAAATGCCCATGGTCCCTACTCCTGCTACACTGCCTTTTCTTCTACACAGCCTGCACCTATGGCCACATGGAAAGTTCTACATGATCACTTGCCATAAAAGTAGAAGACTTGGTCCTGGTTTACAAATGTTTCTGCACAATATGAGGACACCATCTGAAAGTGGACAGCTACAGCACTACAGCCCTTTTCTGGGATATCCCTGAAGGACACTGGTGAAGGGAAAATCCTCCCAGTGGGCAAAACTTTGAGCAGTGCATTTTGTTGTTCACTTTTTTTGGAAGGAGATATCACCAGATATGTGATTATATACCAATTCATGGTATGTGACCAAAGGTTTGGCTGGATGGTCAGGGATTTGGAAAGGGCATAATTAGAAAATCAGTGACAAGGGGATCTGGGGAAAAGGCCCTTGGATAGACAATTTTTTTTAATAATTGGAAAACATGAAATTATTGTTATCCCATGTGAGTGCTCACCAAAGGGTGACCTGAGCAGACGTGGATTTTAATAAGGTGGATAGGATGACCCAATCTGTGGCTAACAGTCAACTTCTTTCCCCAGGCACTGCTCTCATTTTCCAATGGATTTAGGAAGAAAATGGCTAAAGTGGAAGGGATGGAGGTTATACCTGGGGTCAGCAACATGAACTTTCACTCACCAAGGCTGACATGGCTACAGTCACTGCAGAGTGTCCCATCTGTCAGCAGCACAGAACAACACTGAGCTCCCAATATGGCACCATTTACTGAAGTGATTAGCCAAGTACCCACTGGTAGGTTGGTTACAGCAGACCACTTTCCTTGTGGAAAGGGCAGTGTTTTGTTCTTACTGGAATAAATACATTGTTTTTGTTTTTATTTTTTTTTTGTTTCAATAGCTTTTGTGGTACAAGGGGGTTTCTGTTACATGGATGAATTATATAGTGGTAAATTCTGAGTGTACCTGTCACCTGAGTAGTGTTCATTGTACCTAATGTGTACTTTCTTTTTTAATCCCTAACTGCCTTCCAACCCTCCCCCTTCTGAGTCTCTAAAGTCCATTATATCACTTTGTATGCCTTTGTGTACTCATAGCTTAGCTCCCTCTTATAAGTGAGAACATACGGTTTTTGGTTTTTCATTCCTGTGTTACTTCACTTAGAATAATGGCCTCCAGCTCCATCCAACTTGCAGCAAAAGACATTATTTCATTCCTTTTTAATGGATGAATTGTATTCCATGCTGTATATATTACCACATTAGAATAAACAATTTGGATATGGATGCATGCACTGCTTCTACCAAAACTACCATTCATGACTTACAGAATGCCTTTCTACTATCATGCAATTCCACACAGCATTGCTTCTGATGAAGAAATCACTTAACAACAAATGAAGGGTAGCAACGAGCCCGTGCCTACAGAATTCACTGGTGTTATTATTTCCCCAACCTCCTAAAGTTGATGACTTGATAGAATAGTGGAACAGCCTTTTGAAGACTCAGTTATTGTGCCACCCAAATCACAATACCATGCAGGGCTGGGGGCAGTGTTCTCCAGAAGGCTGGTTATGCTGTAAATCAACATTCAATTTATGGTGCTGCTTCTTCCATAGCCAAGATGTGTAGGTTCAGGAATCAAGGAGTGAAAATGAGAGTGGCAAAACTCACTGTTACTTTTAGTGATTCATTAGAAAAATTTGTACATTCTGTGCCTGCGACCTTATGCTCTGCTGAAAGTTAAAATGGCTACCTGGCCACTTTGGATTCTGTACACCTGTGAGTCAATAGGCAAAGCAGTATTTATGGTTTGAGAAGAACTTTCCAGGCATTATGGTGGCAGAGATCAAGATGAACTGTGCCCAGGGCATCTCTTAAATATGTATGAGTAGATAAGACATGTAAAAAAAATGAGCATTGTATAAAAAGTGACCCATAATCAAGTAAATGTTTACAAGAGGAAAAGTACATTTTGTGCTGGGTTAGTTAGCAAAAGTCTTGCTAATTGTGTGATACTTTAGCTATGTCACAAATATTGAGTTTATTACCACATCCCCAAACTCTGAATTCCAAACTAATGGACACTTGCAATTTGGCCTAGATATGAGTGTATGGACACTTATTGTTTTTTCATATATCTCTTTCATGGTTCAAGGGAGTCTGGTTTTCCCAAATACCAACTCTAATTACTTTGGTGACTAAAGCTTGAGGTGCCTTAAGCAGATACACTAAGTAGGATCTATATGCAGGCATATTTTTTTGTCTGGATGTACTTTTTTAAAACCAATTATTTATATATCACATAGTGAATCAGAGTAGGAGAATTAGTCCATGTTTTGTGTCAAATGACCTATCTTAATAAGTAAAGAACTGGGACCAAGTTCTTGAACAGGAACCTCTTTTTAATTGTCACATTTGTCTCACTAGCATTGAAATGGAGCACAAGAACTTTTGGGGATTGAAAAGGAGGAAAAATGATATAAGGGGGTATAGATATTTGTAGGCAGAGTGTGTACTGTAGGATTTGGTTTTGAAAAGTTCTAGTGGAGGAATAAGACAGGACTTGAGCTGGAAATGGAGGGGGGCATAAAACAAGTATCTTGGAAACTCACTCATTTTTAGTGGAATTTTCCCAATACTTTATTTCCTTCCTTATTTCTCTTTCTTGTATGACTTTGTTGATTGCAAAATCCAAAATATACCTTTCCTTGCTCCTCCTTTCCTTCCTTTCTAGGTACTGTGGAGGACGAGAATGAAGTAACAAAAATGGTCTCAGCCCACAGACTCCGGAAGTTTCTTCCTAAATGCTGTTTTCATTCTTTGAAGATCAAAGAAAGGACCTGGAAACATCCTTTCAGCACCTCTAAAGGAGCTCTGCTCAATTCAGGCAAGTGCTTTCTTAAAATGGCTTAATGGCAAAAGCAGTCTCTAATTTTATCTATTACTTCCTAAAATGGGGATGTAAATTTAAAAGTCTTACTCTCTGAATATGGGGAAGTAAAATTAGGGGTTAGTGGTGATACTTTCCATCATTTTGGGCACCAGAAAAATCTACTTTGACAGGAATACTGTCCCAGTGCTTGCCAATACCACAGCTACTGCCAGAAGGGCAGAAAGATCTTAAACAGAGAGTTTGACTAAGAGATTAAACAGAACCAGGAGGAGAGCCAGGAAATAAACAGTGCTAAGTGGTTCTTTTTTTTTTTTTAATGTAAAGGAAGATTGCCAGGAAGAATGATTTATGAGATGGAGATGGAGAAAAGAAAAATGAAATACAAAAGGTATATGATTTTCAGTACTTAACACTAAATATTTGGCTAATCCTGGGAAAGATAAACTTATGTTGTGATTGTTTGAGACAGACTGAAGGCACAGTTGCACTGGTCTCTATAGAAAACCAACTCCACATAAACTCATTTTCCAGGAATTGGTAAAAAGAAACAGTTTAACATGGGTTTAGCTTTATTATAACTACTCAATTATAGAAAGTAAACATTATATATGTTCAGTATGCTTTTTAAAAGAAGGGGCAAACTGAGCAAGATATTTAAAAATGTCCTATAAAATATTTTTATGGGCAAATTTTGATTCTTAAGGAGCTGAACTTTCTAGACAATTACATATTCGGAATACCCTTTTTCTGAAGACATTGGATATCTGAGCTGTTACATAATTTGTCCATAAACTTTCCAATCACCATTGGTAAGACTATCTCTTATTCTTATTTGTATTCTTAAGGAAATATGCCCTTACTGCATATTCCCCTTGAGCTGTGTATTTATTACTCCTTTCTCCTTCAATAGCTCCCCTTGTTAACTTGGGTATAGATTTACTACTAAGACTTTGTATTTTCATTCCCATTATTTTACTTTTCTACTACCTGGTTCTTAAAACTTGACATTACAGTTACTGTTGGAAAATGTTTTCTTAAATGTGTGAAATAGAGGCATGAAGCATCACTTTTCTGAACTCTGTTTCAAGGAGTTTATTTAAAAATAGATGCATATATAGTGGGATACTGTAATTAAACTTGAATAAATAGAAATTTGATTATATGCTGAATTCTGGCCAGAAACTTATATAGTTAAAAAAAGTTTAATTCTGAAGAATGTCAAATTGGTAGGTTTCTGTAGGCAAAAACAGGCAGTCTTTACTTTCTGCCAGCATCTGTCCCTGGATACTAAATATAAAGCAGAATGTGGTAAAAATTTTCTCATTGACATTATATTACACTTGAGGATTGAATTTATGACCAAAACATTGACACTGAATAGAGCTTATACTTGACAATCAGTATGTTAGGAAAAAAAGATACTAGAAACCTTTCTGGTTTTCAAAATAGAAATAGTATAAATGAGTATATAGTGTGCACATTTGACTATAAAATGTCAAAGTGTGTGAAGACATATATACTTAGTACTAAAATTTGTATTCAATATCAGAAATGTGACCTACAAGAAGCTTTCACAATTTCAGATATTCAATTATGCTTAAAATAGAACCATTCATTCTTTCACTCAACAAATATGTATTACTTACTATATGAAAGAGAGCATCCTAGGCTCATGTCATGGAACAAAACAAAAATCTCTGCTGTTGTGAAGCTCATATCCCAGTGAATGGAATGGAAAATAATTACACAAGTGAAATATGTAGTATGTAAGGTGGTGATAAGTTCTACAAAGAAACAAATAAAGCATGAAAAAAGAGTATGTAATAGTGAGAGGAGGCGTACATTTAAATTTTATATAAAGTGGATTAATTGAGAAGGAGAATTTTGATTTGAGTGAATTTCTGAAGAAGGTAAGAAAACAAGACATGAAGAAAAAAGAATATTTCAGATTAGAAGAGCATTAGTTATTATTTAGGCCTTATTTTACAGATTAAAAATCTGAGGCCCAAATTACTCACTCAGGCTGGATTCCTAATTCTGTCTTCTGGATGAGGATTTGTTTCTTGTGAAAAGCGTAATTTGAGCAGAAGCCAGAAATAACAGAAGTTAGTTTTAAATAGCAATATTTTCCTAGTCTGAAGCAATACTGAACAGGAGGTTTTAGCCTGGAAATTTGGGTCTGCTTTTTGTAGTTGAGTTAAATACGATGCTTCTGTAACTCCAAAATGAAGTCTGAGTTGCTGCAGAGAAGTATCATGGTTCTGCACTTATTTATGACAGGTCAAAATGACTTACAAACAATTTGGAGTGTGATCTCTAGTGCTAAGAAAAACAGCAAGAAAAGGCAACAATATCCTATGTCAAAAAATATTTCTGCAATATAGGATCAGGCTCTTAGATGGAAATTCTGGTTGACCAAATTGCCTGTCATGGTTTTTCAAGATTCAGATCTGAGACCAAGACTCTCCAGTGATGTCTGAATGTTTAAGATGTTTTCTAATTTAGAGAAAAACCTAGATTATTAAGCATAGTTTTTGCTTTTGGTGCCCTACAATATGTTTGGCATCTTGTAAACCTGGGGATAGCCACAAAGAGTTCATTCTTGGGTTATCTTTGTGATGATCACCTGTAGGCAGTTACTTTACCTTTGATTTTTCAAAAGCCACTAACAAGCCATGTGACCCTGAGACGAGTCCCTTCTACTGTTTGGATCTCAGATTCATCATCTGTACCATCAATAGGGTTGGGCTATAATTTCTAAGAGGACTTACAATACTGAAATTACAGGATTCTGGTTTTATTCAAACGAGAGATATTCTTTTTAAGAAGATTAATAAAAACATACTTTATAATTCCCTGGAAATTAAAAAAAAATACCATACACAGAAACACTCTTCTACCAATGTTGTTTACCCAATTTAGGCCTTTATGTATGTTTTCTTCTGAATAGCTATAATGATTTGCCATTCTAGATCAGTTATTCTTTTTTGTTTTTTTTAAGACAGAGTCTCACACTGTCACCCAGGCTGGAGTGCAGTGGCCTGATCTGGGCTCCCTGAAACCTCCGCCTCCTGGGTTCAAGTGATTCTCCTGCCTCAGCCTCCCAAATAGCTGGGATTACAGGCGCCTGCCACCACATCCAGCTAATTTTTTGTATTTTTAGTAAAGATAGGGTTTCACCATGTTGGCCAGGCAGGTCTCGAACTCCTGACTTCAAGTGATCCACCATCCTTGGCCTCCCAAAGTTTTTGGATTACAGGCATGAGCCACTGCAGCTGGCCTATATCAGTTATCCTTAATAAAAACTTTTCTTGTGATAGTTTGCTGAGAATGATGGTTTCCAGCTTCATCCATGCAAGGACAAAAAACCAAACACCGCGTGTTCTCACTCATAGGTGGGAATTGAACAATGAGAACACTTGGACACAGGAAGGGGAACGTCACACACCGAGGCCTGTTGTGGGGTGGGGGGAGGGGGGAGGGATAGCATTAGGAGATATACCTAATGTAAATGACGAGTTAATGGGTGCAGCACACCAACATGGCACATGTAAACATATGTAACAAACCTGCACATTGTGCACATGTACCCTAGAACTTAAAGTATAATAAAATATATATGTATTAAAAAAACTTTACTTATATCATTCTCTTGCTTAAATTGGCAATGGCTACCCATTGCCAGTAGGACAAAATTAAAAACTCATCTTTTAACTCAAGGCCATCTTCAATTATCTTTCCTGCCTTATCTCTTACCATAATCCGTCACTCTCTAGATACACCAGAATACTTGCCTTTGTTTAAATTTACTATATACTTCTATCACTTTGCTCTACCTTTCACCTGCTAAATTCTTCAGGATCTGCTCAAATGTTAGCCAGTCCCAGGGGCCTTGCCAAATCTCCCCTAGGCCAAATGCAGAACCCTTCCTTTGTCCCACTTCTTGTCATTACATATAATCTCGTTTTGCCAGCATTTCTCACCATCTTCCTTGAACTAGTTACCTGTTTCCTTGCTTCTCTCCATGACTACAGCACAGAGTTTATGCCTTTGTCATTTGCAATACCTTCCCTGACCTCAGCCTCTAGTTCATGTCTTGTATAAAATAGTTCATTGATAGCACATTTTTTAATTCAATTAAATTATTCTCTACATAAGCTTGGCACATAGAGTACTTCCAGTGAACACGAAAGCCTCATTGACCTGGTGGTATTGAGGATCATGGAATTTTCCCCTTTAAGTACTAAAACATTGGAACATTTAACTATTTTAGGTGGCACTCTAAGATGTATTACATTTGTTTTCCTGCTTAAATAAACAGATAAATGGATTTGAACAAAAAAAAGTAATCTTTTTGTTGTTTGATGCAGGGTCCTTAATAGCCACATAAGTGGTGCAATGCTGTTATGCTGTGATCTCCTCTTAGATTGCTTTGTGGTTTGCCTAACTGTGACTCTGGGTTAAACTGATCCACAATTTCAGGTCTCAATTTAATGACACTACCATGTCATTTTACATATTGTCAGATACTGATTTTCGTTGGGTTTATCCATGATCATATCTGTAGTCTTCTGTAACAGGCCAAACTGAGAGATGCTAGGAGAAAACAGATAAAGAAGAAATTTATTTAACTAGAGACATTATGTTTTTGATATAATGCTAAGTCAATTGTCTTTGAGAAAAATTGGCAGACTTGACCATATCTTTATCTTTGGATAGAGACGATTCCTCCTGAATTCTAGTTTTGTGGCTGCATTCCAGATGAGTGAGGTTGTTAGAAGCCTGACCCCCCACTCCCAGATAAGCATTACCCTGCTTGACTGATGAGTGATTCTGCACTACCCAGATATTTCCCATGAATAAATAACATTGTGGAGGTCTAGCTTTTAATTTTCTGAATGGAACAAATGTCACCTTTGTCATCTACCCAAAGCAAGTCCGATAAAATAAAAGGATAATGTTCATTACATTTTCCAAAGCAGCTTCATACTATTTTTTCTAAGCTATATTTCTTGTCTTCTGCTTTGATGTTTCTATTATTTCTCTTTCAACTTTTATTTAGGTTCATGGGCTACATGTGCAGGCTTTTTAATGGGTAAATTTCATGTCTCTGGGATTTTTTATACAAATGATTTCATCACTCAGGTAGTGAGGATAGTACTCGATGGTTTTTCAACTCTCACCCTCCTCCTACCCTCCACCGTCAAGTAGGCTCTGGTGTCTATGTTCCTCTCTTTGTGTACATGTGTGCTCAATGTTTAGCTCCCACTTATAAGTGGGAGCATGCAGTATATGGTTTTCTGTTCTTGCATTAATTTGCTTAGGTTAATGGCCTCCAGGAGCATTTATGTTGCTTCAAAGGACATAATTTCATTTTTTATGGCCAAATTTTTGTTTGCTGGTTTAAATTCCTCTGGATTTTGCATATTATAACTTGGTCACCATTCCATGGATAATCTGGTCACCATTCCATGGTGTATATGTACCACATTTTCTTTATCTAGTCCACCATTGATGGGCATCTAGATTGATATCATGTCTTGGCTATTGTGAATGATGCTGTGATTAACATATAAGTGCAAGTGTCTTATTGATAGAATGATTTATATTCCTTTGGGTGTATACCCAATAATGGGATTGCTGGGTCAAAAGGTAGTTCTGCTTTGAGTTCTCTGATGAATCTTCCAATTGTTTTCCACAGTGACGGAACTAATTTACATTCCCACTGGTAGTGTATAATAAGCATTCCTTTTTTCTGCAACCTTGTGACAATCTGTTATTTTCTGACTTTGTAATAATAGCCATTCTTACTAGTGTGAGTGAGAAGGTGTATTAGTCTGTTTTCATGCCTCTCACAATCATGGCAAAAGGCAAGGAGGAGCAAGTCACATCTTACGTGGATGGAGGCAGGCAAATAGAGGGCTTGTGTGGAGAGTCTCCCATTTTTAAAAAACATCAGATCTCATGAGACCTATTCACTCTCACGAGAATAGCATGGAAAAGACCCACCTCCAGGATTCATTCATTCACTCCCTTGTGGTCCCTCTCACAGCATGTGGGAATTATGGGAGCTAGAAGATGAGATTTGGGTGGGAACACAGAACCAAACCATTTCATTCCACCCCGGCCCTTCCCAAATCTTGTATCTTCACATTTCAAAACAAATCATGCCTTCCCAACAGTCCCTCAAAGTTTTAACTCATTTCAGTGTCAACTTAAAAGTCCACAGTCCAACATCTGATCTGAGACAAGGAAAGTCCCTTCTGCCTATGAGCCTGTAAAATCAAAATCAAGTTAGTTACTTCCTAGATACAATGGGGGTACAGGCATTGGGTAAATATAGCTGTTCCAAATAAGAGAAATTGGCCAAAACAGAGGGCCTACAGGCCCCATGCAAGTCCAAAATCCAACAGGACAGTCAAATCTTAAAGCTCCAAAATGATCTCCTTTGACTCCAGGTCTTGCATCTGGGTCACAATGATGTAATAGGTGGATTCCCATGGCAGCTCCGTCTCTGTGGCTTGGCAGGGTACAGCCTTCCTCCTAGCTGCTTTCACGGGCTGGCATTGAGTGTCTGCAGCTTTATCAGGTGCATGGTGCAAGCTGTTAGTGGAACTACCATTCTGGGGTCTGGAGAATGGTGGCCCTCTTCTCACAGCTCCATTAGGTGGTGCCCCAGTAGGGGCTCCCAACCCACATTTCCCTTTCACACTGCCCTAGCAGAGGTTCTCCATGAGGATCTCACCCCTGCAGCAAACTTCTGCCTGGGAATCCAGGTGTTTCCATACATCTTCTGAAATCAAAGTGGAGGTTCCCAAACCTCAATTCTTGACTTCTGTGCACTCACAGGCTCAACACCATGTGGAAGCTGCCAAGGCTTGAGGCCTGCACCCTCTGAAACCAAGGCCTGACCTATACCTTTTTTCCTTTCAGCCATGGCTGGAGTCGCTAGGACACAGGGCACCAATGCCCTAGGTTGCACACAGCATGGGGACCCTTGGCCTGGCCCGTGGAACCACTTTTTCCTTCTAGGCCTCCAGGCCTGTGATGGGAGGGGCTGCCACAATGGTCTCTGACATACCCTAGAGACATTTTCCCCATTGTCTTGGGGATTAACATTTGGCTCCTGGTTAGTTAGGCAAATTTCTGCAGCAGGCTTGAATTTCTCCTCAGGAAATGAGATTTTCTTCTTTATTGCATTGTCAGACTGCAAATTTTCTGAACTTTTATGCTCTTCTTCCCTTATGAAACAATGTTTTTAACAGCACCCATGTAAAATCTTGAATACATTGCTGCTTAGAAATTTCTTCCACCAGATACCCTAAATCATCTCTCTCAATTTCAAAGTTTCAAAAATCTCTAGGGCAGGGGCAAAATGCTGCCAGTCTCTTTGCTAAAACATAACAATAGTCATGTTTTTTGATCCATTTCCCAACAAGTTCTTCATTTTCATCTGAGACCACCTCAGCCTGGATTTAATTGTACATATTGCTATCAACATTTTTGTCAAAGCCATTCAACAAGTCTCTAGGAAGTTCCAAACTTTCCTTCATTATTCTGTCTTCTCCTGAGCCCTTCAAACTGTTCCAACCTCTGCCTGTTACCCAGTTCTAAAGCCACTTCCACATTTTTGGGTATCTTTTCAGCAAAACCCCACTCCCAGTACCAATGTACTGTATTAGTCTATTTTCATGATGCTGATAAAGACACACCCGAGGTTAGGAAATTTACAAAAGAAAGAGGTTTAATGACTTACAGTTCCACGTGGCTGGGAAGTCATCACAATCATGGCAGAAGGCAAGGAGGAGCAAGTCACATCTTACATGGATGGCAGCAGGCAAAGAAAGTGCTCTTGCAGAGGAACTCTTGTTTTTTAAAACCATCAGACCTCATGAGACCCATTCACCATCACAATAACAGCATGGGAAAGACACGCCCCCATGATTTAATTATCTCCCACTGGGTTCCTCCCACAACACATGGAAATTATGGGAGCTACAAGATGAGATTTAGATGGGGACACAGAGCCAAACCATATCAGATAGTATCTCATTCTGGTTTTAATGTGCATCTTTCTAATCATTAGTCATGCTGACCATTTTAAAATATGTTTGTTGACCACTTGTACGTTGTTTTTGGAGAAGGTCCTGGGAATGTTCTTTTCCATTTCTCAATAGTGATGTTTGTTTTTCTGCATGCTGATTTAAATTCCTTCTGGATTTTGCATATTAGACCTTTGACAGATGTATAGTTTGCAAATATGTTCTTCCATTCCATAGGTTATTTCTTTATTTTTTTGATAATTTTTTGTTCTGTGCAGAAGCTCTTTAGTTTAACTAGATCCCACTTGCTTATTTTTGTTTTTGGTTCAATTGCTTTTGGAGACTTCCTCATGAAAAGTTTTTCTAGGCCTATATTCAGAAGGGTATGTCCTAGACCTTCTTTTTTTTTGTAGTTTTAGGTCTTACATTTAAGTCTTTAATCCAATGCAAATTGATTTTTGTATACGGCAAAAGGAAGGGGTCCAGTTTCAATATGCTGAATATGGCTAACCAGTTATCCCAGCACAATCCTTTTCCTATTACTTGTTGTTCTCAACTTTGTCAAAGATCACATGGGTGTAGGAGTGTGGCTTTATATCTGTGTTCTTTATTCTGTTCCCTTGGTCTCTTTGTTCTTGTACCGGTATCATGATGTTTGGCTACTGTAGATTTGTAATATAGTTTGAAGTTGGGTAGTGTAATTCCTCTGGCTTTGTACTTTTTGTTTAAGATTACTTTGGCTATTCAGGCCCTTTTTTGGTTCCAAATGAACTTTAGAATAGATTTTTATAATTCTGTGAGAAACAACACCAGTAATTTAAAAATAATAGCCTGAATCTGTAAATTGCTTTGGGAAATATAGCTATTTTAACAATATTTATTTTTCTATCCATGAACATGGAATGTTTCTCCATTTGTTTGTATTGTCTATAATTTATTTCAGCAGTGTTTTATAATTCTTGTACAGATTTATCCCTTCCTGGTTAGCTGTATTTCTAGGTAATTTATTCTTTTTGTGGCTATTGTGAATAGGATTGTAATCTTGATTTGGCTTTCAGGTTGAATGTTATTGGTGTATAGAAATATTAATACTACTGATTTTTGTACATTGATTTTGTACCTTGAAACTTTGCTGGAGTTGTTTATCAGATCTTGAAAGCTTTGGGCAGAATATGGTATGTTCTAGTATAGACTTATATTGCCTGCAATGAGAGACAGTTTGACTTTCTCTGTTTTTATTCAGATACCTTTTATTTATTACTCTTGCCTAATTTGTCTGGCTAGGACTTTGGGTACTATGTTGAATAGGAGTGGTGAGAGTGGGCATCTTTATCTTATTCTGGTTCTTAGGGGTAATATTTGCAACTTTTTCCTGTTGAGTGTGATGGCTGTGGGTTTGTCATAGATGGCTCTTATTATTTTGAACTATGTTTCTTCAATGCCTAGTTTGTTAAGGGGTTTCAACATAAAGGGATGTTGAATTTTATCAAAAGCCTTTTCTGCATCTATTGAGATGATGATATAATTTCTGTTTTTAGTTATTTTATGTGCTGAATCACAGTTATTGATTTGTGTATGTTGAACCAACCTTGCTTCTCAGGAATAAAGCCCACTTGATCATGGTGGATTAGCTTTCTGGTGTGTTCAAGGATTCAGTTTGCTAGTATTTTGTTGAGAATTTTTGTGTCTATGTTCATCAGGGATATTGGCATAAAGTTTTCTTTATTCATTGTGTCTCTGCCAGATTTTGGAATCAGAATAATACTGGTCTCATAGAGTAAGTAAAAGAGGAATCTTTTCCCCTCAATATTTTGGAATAATTTGGGTAGGATGAGTACCAGCTCTTCTTTATACATATGGTTGAATTTGGTTGTGTATTTTTCTGATCCAGTGCTTTTTCTGGTTGGTAGGTTTATTATTACTGATTCAACTTCAAAACTTGTTATTTGTCAGCTCACGATTTCTATTTCTTCCTGGTTAAATCTTGGAAAGTTATCCACCTCTAGGTTTTCTAGTTTGTGTGCATAAAGTTGTTCATAATAGTCTCTGAAAGTTTTTTGTATTTCTGTGGGGTCAGTGGTAATACCTACTTTGTCATTTATGATAGTTTTTATTTGAATCTTCTCCCTTTCTTCTTAATTCATCTAGCTAGTGGCCTATCGGTCTTATTTATTCTTTGAAAGAACCAACTTTTTGTTTTGTTGATCTTTTGGATGGATCGTTATGTCTCAATTTTCTTCAACTTAGCTCTAATTTTAGTTATTTATTGTCTTCTGATAGCTTTGGGGTGGGTTTACTCTTGTTTTTCTAGTTCCTCTAGGTGTGATGTTAGGTTGTTGAGATCTTTCTAACTTCTTGATGTAAACATTTAGCACTACAAACTTTTCTCTTAACACTGCTTTAGCTATGTCCCAGATATTTTGCTATGTGTTATCTTTGTTTTCATTCATTTCAGGGAATTTATTGATGTCTGCCTTAATTTCATTATTTACCTAACAGTCATTCAGAAGCAGATTTTTAAATTTCCATATTACTGTATGGTTTTGAGACATCTTCTTAGTGTTCATTTATATTTTTATTGCACTGTTGTTCAGGAGTGTTATTTGTATGATTTCCATTATTTGAATTTATTGAGAATTGCTTTATGGCAGAGTCTTGTTAATGTTAGAGTATGTGCCATGTTCAGATAAGAAGAATGTATATTTGGTTGTTGTAGGATGAAGTATTCTGTAGATGTCTGTTAGTTCCATTTGGTCAAGAGTTGAGTTTAAGTCCTGAATATCTTTGTTAGTTTTTTGCCTTGATTATCTGTTTAGCACTGTCAGTGGTGTGTGGAAGTCTCATATCCTTATTGTGTGATTATCTAAGTCTTCTCATAAGTCTCTTAGAACTTGTTTTATAAATCTGGGTGCTACAGTGTTGGTTTCTCATATATTCAGATTAGTTATGTCTTCTTGTTGAATTTAACCCTCTATCATTGTATAATGCCCTTCTTTGTCCTTTTTGATAATTGTTTATTTAAAGCCTGTTTTGTCTTTAATGAGAATAACCACTCTTCTTTTTATTTCTGTTTGTTTTATAGATCTGCCTCCATCCCTTTACTTTGAGTTTATCGGTGCCATTGCATGTGAGATGGGTCTCTTGAAGGCAGCATACATTTGGATCTTGCTTCTTTATCCAACTTACCAGTCTGTGTCTTTTAACTGGGGTGTTTAGCTTGTTTATGTTTAAGATTAATATTGATATGTAAGGATTTATATCTGTCTTTATGTTGCAAGCTGGTTGTTTTCTAGACTTGATTTCTATAGTTGCTTTTTAGTGTCATTGGGCTATGTACTGAAGTGAGCTTTTATGGTGGCAGGTAACTGTCTTTTATTTACATGTTTAGCCCTCCTTTAAGGACATCTTGTAAGGCAGATTTGGTGATATCAAATTTCCTTAGCATTTTATTGTCTAAAAAATATTTTTTTCTCCTTCACTCATAAAACTTAGTTTGACTGTATATAAAATTCTTGGTTGGAATTTCTTTTCTTGAAAGATGCTGAATATAGGCCCCTAATGTCTTCTGGCTTGTATGGTTTGTGCTGAAAGTTCCACTGTTCACCTTTGGGGTTCCCTTTGCTCATGATCAGCCCCTTCTCTCTAGTTGCCCTTAACACTTTTTTCTTTTACATAGACTTTGGAGAATCTGATGATGTGTGTCTTGGTGATGGTCATATTCTATAGTATCTCACAGGGGTTCTCTGAATATCCTGAATTTGCATGTTGACCTCTCTAGAGAGGTTGGAAAAATTTTCATGTATGATATCCTCATATATATGTTTTTCTAGTTGCTTGTTCTTTCTCTGTCTTTTTCAGAAATGTCAATGAGTTATAAGTTTGTTTTCTTTACATAATCTCATATTTCTCATATGCTTTCTTCATTTTGTTAAATTATTTTCTCTTTATATTTTTCTGCCAGTGTTGATTCAAAGGAGCAGTCTTTGAGCTCTAGGATTCTTTCCTCAGTTTGGTCTATTCTGTTATTAATGCTTCCATTTGCATTCTGAAATTCCTGTAGTAAATTTTTTATTTCCACAAGTTCACTTTGGTTCTTTGTTGAAATGGCCATGCCACTTTTCAACTCTTGGACTCTTTTACTGTATTTCTTGCACTGGGTTTCAACCTTCTCCTTTATGTCAATGAGCTTCCTTGACATCCAGATTCTGACTTCAGTGTCTGTCATTTCAGCCATTTAAGTCTAGTTAAGAACCATTGTTGGGGAGTTAGTGTGGCTATTTGGAGGTAAGAAGATACCCTGGCTTTTAGATTTGCCAGAGTTCTTGCACTGATTCTTTCTCAACTGTGTGGTCTAATGTTTATTTAATCCTTGAAGTTGCTCTCTTTTGGATGGAGGTTTTTGCTTTTATATTCTTTGATGTCCTTGAGAATTTGACTATGGTATAAGTGAGATTACTCAATTGGCTTTACTTCTGGATGCTTCCAGAGGACCAAGTCTCAGCTCAACTCTCCTGGGCTACATAATCTAACACTGAGGGGCTGGGACTAGGCCCACAGCCTTGTTTTTTGGCCCTTCAAGGTTAAGCGTCTGTTGCAGTGGAGAGGCTGAGGTGCTCCTCTAGTCTTTTCGCAATTATATTCTGACTGAGGCTGCCAGCAAAAACACTCTGGTGGGGCAGCAGTTGGCCTCCAGGCATGTGAATACCAGTGAGGGTCCCCATACACGTGCATGGTGGTTGGGCAGCAGTGGATCCACACTCACATGGAAACCGGTGAGGCAGCTAGGGGTGTCTGTGGGAGAGTGCACACTCCCAGGGGAAGGCTGTTGGTCAGTGCATGCTGGTGGGGGAAGGCTACAGGTAGGTGTGTGACACCAGTGGGGGGATCTGTGGATTGGTGTGTGTTGGTGAGGAGAGGCTGCAGATGGCTGCATGCTTGCAGGGGTCCATCTGCAGGAGTGATTTGAAGGTTAGGTGGGGTATTCCAGTGAATATGCTGTGATAAGTGTCCTCTTGAGATTATGATGCAAGTGAGTGTGGACAGGCAGGGAATCTGGGTGAAACTGGCAGACCTGGCAGTGCTCAGATTACATTGGCCTCATTCCAGGGCAAGGCAACCCTGCTCTGTCAAGGCCTGGTAGCCAACAATGGCTGGAGCCATTTAGAGGATTATGGCAAGCCTAGGAGATGGGCATCCACAATCATGCTCCACTGCAGTTATTTCTGTGCCAAACACTCTGGGCTTCATGCAGATGGACATTCTGTGTCTGCCAAATTGCTTGGCAGTTCTCCTGGCCACCTGAGATATCTGTGAGGTCCATGGAGTCTTCTGCAGCTAGGATCCCTAAGGCATCTGATGAGACTGGGCCACTTTATACTTACTTATCTTATCCCTATTTTAGGAGCCACTTAGGGTCAGAAATAAGTCCTGGTGCTTGGCAACCCAATGTGGGGTTCCCAGCTTCCTCCTTTTTCAACCCAAGTGAGTGTCCTCCCTCTATCCACTCTCAACACCTTCTTTCCAAAGATCTGTTCAGAGTGTGTAGGTCTACTTGATGATTTGGTCTTTGTTGCTGGGAGAAGATCTCAGTGGCTATGCCTAGTCAGCCATCTTGGCTCTACCAGTGCCTTGGCATTTCTTATTATCTTTCAAGCTGCTGTTGGCTAGGTGACTTTCTTTTACCCTAATCCAGTAGGCATTAAATGTCATTATTTGCAATGATAGGAAAGATCTTTCTGTTATCTGGAGACTCAGTTATCAGTGACATATTAGGACACAGGCAGTTTCAGTGACACAAAGGAGATATTTCTCTGAAGCATTCAAAATATCAAACATAATTCAAGTTCTTTTCAAAGAAAAAATATTCTTTCACGTAAATCTCCTTTGACAAAATTCATCTGTATCTGGAATTTCTAAAGGATAGTTTCAAAACATGTTTATCCTATACATATCTTAATCATATTTAACAATATTCATCTTTTCTGCATAATCAGTTCAGTATTCAGAAGACAATTTTCTCTCCAAAAGCAAGGGATTTAAGAGAGTTTAAGCAAGAAGGGATTTTGAGATCATCTAATCTAGACTCCTATCCTTAGTTGGTAGGTTTTATCCTAATTTTATAAATGAGACTAGCAAAACTCCCACACCATCTATGGGACTATTTAAATTTATTTAGATGTTAGCGTTTATCTTTGATCTATGAGTTTCTCTTTGATTTGTGATCTTTGTTTCCCATTTTGTTTTCTCTCAGCATGAATAAACTCTAATCATCTGCTGGGCTTCTCTCAGACTGCTTGTTGATCATTTTTTTAAGGTTCATTCCTAGGCATATTTCTTACTGTTTGGCATTGAGTAGACCTCATAGTGGTCTTAATTCATGGTTTCTGTTGTTTAGCCTGAGGAAGTCGGTGGCTACTAGAATGGTTGACCATTTTCTATAGGCTTCCCAGACTGCATTTTTTTTCCTGGAGATGATTTAATGTTCTGTCTCACCTTCTCAGCTCTATTAATTTACCTGTCAAATTTTCAATGATGTGTTTATGCACCTACTCTCTGCTCGAGGACAATTAATCAAGTTAAATTGAGAGATATCAAATGCCTCACACCTTTAAAAGGAAACCTTAGTGTAACCTTTTTTTTTTTTAACAAAAAACTAGGTTGTTAGAAACTCCAGGACACACACACACACACACACACCAAAATTAACTCTGTGTCATGTATAAAAATGCATCATTACACTTTTCCCTCAAATTTTAATGTGCTGCTTTTTTGAAGTCAGCCACATTTCCCTCCTCAGTCAGTGGAAACCCTTTGATTTCTGTCCCTATAATTTTGCATTTCCAGAATGTCATATATATGGAATAATATAATACGTAACTTTTTGAGTTAGGCTTTTTTCATTTAGCAAATTTCATTGATAACTTTTCCATGTTGCTTATCCATTTTTTAATGCTGAATAGTATTCCATTGTTTGAATATATTACCATTTGTTTATCACTTCACTGATCTTTCAGTCTGGGTTCCTGCAACTTTTGTGCTGTTTTGAAAAAAGCTATTATGAACATTTATGTACAAGTCTTTATGTGAACCCATGTTTTCATTTCTCCTGGGTATATACCTAAAATGGAAATTTCTTGGCTATAGCAACAGCGTACGTTTAACTTTTTTTAAAACTGCCAAACTGTTTTCAAAAGTGTGTATGCTATTTTGCATTCCCTTAGGGCATGCAAATTTAGGATTGAGTTCTATGACTCAATCCTAATCCATTGCATTCTGGATTTGTGCTCTTCTTACTCCTCAGGCTTCTTTCCTTGTTAATTCTCTCCTATCTTTCTCTGTTTTACCAAAACTACCCTCTCTGAGGCCACCAATGTTAAACTAAAGCATTTTCAGTCAATTTTTAAAACCGGGAATGTCTTTCTTTCTTGGTTTCTGTGAAAGTTCTGTATTGATTATTCACCTTAAGTCATCTTAAATGTCATCTCTTTGGAAAGGCAACTGACACCCAATTATTCAATTTTCATCTCAACCAATTATTTATCACTACTTGATATTTTTGTTCATTTACTCATTTATTTGCTTACTGCCTATCCACCATGACTAGAATGCAAACTTGACAAAAACAGAGACTTGTGTCTGTCTTGATTGATGTCATATCCCTATTTCATGAATCAGCAGTTGGCATCTAGTAAGCACTCAATCAATGTTTATTGAATAAATCCTCTGATGTCTCCGAACACACTTCCTATATCTCATTTCTTGCTTCCATTCGTTTTTCTTGCCCCTTAAGTGGAGTCATTCTTTAATGTGTTGTTTTTTTCTCTATATTTATTTTCCCTGGGTGAATGGATTCTTGCTCACACACTTAACTGGTTGAATCATGGATGACACATAAGTGAACTAAGCATTAGATTGATTCTAAGTGGGTAAGACCTAGGGCTAGCAGTCAGACCTTCTTGCTTAATGTGGGTTGTAAGTTATAGAAACCCATTTCAAATGAACTTAAGGAGTAAAGGCAATGTATTATAAAGAAATGGAGGCAACTCACAAAACCCAAAGGCAGGACATGCAGTCTCATGAGTTAATGGAACTAGAACCAGGAAAGCATTAGGGTCATTGGCACAAATTCTCATCTCTACTTTTTCCTGCACATCTAATTGTCTGCCCCTCTCTTCCCTCTCCCTCTTGCTCTCTCTTTTTCTCCTTCTCCTTCTGCTCTTGCCCCTCCTCCTCCTGTGCCTTCTTTTTCTTTTCCTCTCTTTCCTTTTTTTCCTCTCACGCTCTTTCTAGATAACTTTAATTTTGTTGGTGTGTATAAATCCAAACATGGCCATTTCATAGCTCCCAGGATTACATTTTCCCAAGTCATCTCCTGCTTAGAGAACACAGATCAGAAACGAGTCCTGACTTTTTCTCTCAATCATTACTTTCAAATTCCTGGGATATAAAATCTGAGCAGATCACATTGGTCAGATATTTACCTTTGGCCAAGGGAAGGGGGAAACCTATCCCTATGGGGGGTAGGGGTTAGTTCTGGGAGGAGAGAAATATGGATTGGCAGTCATGTAAAACATGTCTGCCACAGCCACATAAACAGGCTCTAGCAGAAAATGACTGAACAATAGGAAAGTGGCAGGGAGTGAATTACACATGATAAACTAGTTTATGTTGTGCTAAGAAATATTTCATAAATCTTGATAACTTGAAACAAAAATACATTTTCACTATTTGTTCCATAAAAGTCCACAGGGTACTCAATGTAGTCACTCAGGTACCCAGACTTACAGACTCTCTAACATCTCAGTAGGTACTTGCAAGTTTGCTAAAGCAGGAAAAGAGAGGTCTAGAGAGTCAATCAATGACACTCAAATGCTGGCTTTGCCTGTGATGCACTTAAATTCTGCTCAAATTTCACTGGCTGGAGTTAGGTCAAATAGACATGCCTAACTTCAAGGGAGTGAATGAAGAACTGTATTCTTGAGATCTGAGAATGGACAGACTGCCTCCTCAACTGGGTCCCTGATCCCCGAGTAGCCTAACTGGGAGGCACCCCCCAGTAGAGGCAGACTGACACCACACAGACGAGTACTCCTCTGAGACAAAACTTCCAGAGGAATGATCAGGCAGCAACATTTGCTGTTCACCAATATCTGCTGTTATGCAGCCTCCGCTGCTGATACCCAGGCAAACAGGGTCTGGAGTGGACCTCCAGCAAACTCCAACAGACATGCAGTTGAGGGTCCTGACTGTTAGAAGGAAAACTAACAAACAGAAAGGACACCCATACCAAAAACCCATCTGTACGTCACCATCATCAAAGACCAAAGGTGTATAAAACCACAAAGATGGGGAAAAAACAGAGCAGAAAAACTGGAAACTCTAAAAATCAGAGCACCTCTCCCCCTCCAAAGGAACACAGCTCCTCACCAGCAACGGAACAAAGCTGGATGGAGAATGACTTTGATGAGTTGAGAGAAGAATGCTTCAGATGATCAAACTACTCTGAGCTAAAGGAGGAAGTTCAAACCCATGGCAAAGAAGTTAAAAACCTTGAAAAAAAATTAGACAAATGGCTAAATAGAATAAACAATGCAGAGAAGTCCTTAAAAGACCTGATGGAGCTGAAAACCATGGCAGGAGAACTATGTGACAAAAGCACAAGCCTCAGTAGCTGATTCAATGAACTGGAAGAAAGGGTATCAGTGATGGAAGATCAAATGAATGAAATGAAGCGAGAAGTTTAGAGAGAAAAGAATAAAAAGAAACGAACAAAGCCTCCAAGAAATATGGGACTATGTGAAAAGACCAAATCTACATCTGATTGGTGTACCTGAAAGTGACAGGGAGAATGGAACCAAGTTGGAAAACACTCTGCAAGATATTATCCAGGAGAACTTCCCCAATCTAGCAAGGCAGGCCAACATTCACATTCAGGAAATACAGAGAATGCCACAAAGATACTCCTCAAGAAGAGCAACTCCAAGACACATAATTGTCAGATTCACCAAAGTTGAAACGAATGAAAAAATGTTAAGGGCAGTCAGAGAGAAAGGTTGGGTTACCCACAAAGGGAAGCCCATCAGACTAACAGCAGATCTCTTGGCAGAAACTCTACAGGCCAGAAGAGAGTGGCGGCCAATATTCAACTTTCTTAAAGAAAAGAATTTTCAACCCAGAATTTCATATCCAGCCAAACTAAGCTTCATAAGTGAAGGAGAAATAAAATCCTTTACAGACAAGCAAATGCTGAGAGATTTTGTCACCACCAGGCCTGCCCTAAAAGAACTCCTGAAGGAAGCACTAAACATGGAAAGGAAAAACCAGTACCAGCTACTGCAAAAATATGCCAAATTGTAAAGACCATCGAGGCTAGGAAGAAACTGCATCAACTAATGAGCAAAATAACCAGCTAACATCATAATGACAGGATCAAATTCACACATAACAATATTAACCTTAAATGTTAATGGGCTAAATGCTCCAATTAAAAGACACAGACTGGCAAATTGGATAAAGAGTCAAGACTCATCAGTGTGCTGTATTCAGGAAACCCATCTCATGTGCAGAGACACACATAGGCCCAAAAGAAAGGGATGGAGGAAGATCTACCAAGCAAATGGAAAACAAAAAAAGGCAGGGGTTGCAATCCTAGTCTCTGATAAAACAGACTTTAAACCAACAAAGATCAAAAGAGACAAAGAAGGCCATTACATAATGGTAAAGGGATCAATTCAACAAGAAGAGCTAACTATCCTAAATATACATGCACCCAATACAGGAGCACCCAGATTCATAAAGCAAGTCCTTAGAGACCTACAAAGAGACTTAGACTGCCACACAATAATAATGGGAGACTTTAACACCCCACTGTCAACATTAGACAGATCAACGAGACAGAAAGTTAACAAGGATATCCAGGAATTGATCTCAGCTCTGCACCAAGTGGACCTAATAGACATCTACAGAACTCTCCACCCCAAATCAAGAGAATACACATTCTTTTCAGCACCACACCACACCTATTCCAAAATTGACCACAGAGTTAGAAGTAAAGCACTCCTCAGCAAATGTAAAAGAACAGAAATTGTAACAAACTGTCTCTCAGACCACAGTGCAATCAAACTACAACTCAGGATTAAGAAACTCACTCAAAACCACTCAACTACATGGAAACTGAACAACCTGCTCCTGAATGACTACTGGGTACATAACGAAATGAAGGCAGAAATAAAGATGTTCTTTGAAACCAATGAGAACAAAGACATAACATACCAGAATCTCTGGGACACATTCAAAGCAGTGTGTAGAGGGAGATTTATAGCACTAAATGCCCACAAGAGAAAGCAGGAAAGATCTAAAATTGACACCCTAACATCACACTTAAAAGAACTAGAGAAGCAAGAGCAAACACATTCAAAAGCTAGCAGAAGGCAAGAAATAACTAAAATCAGAGCAGAACTGAAGGAAATAGAGACACAAAAAAACCTTCAAAAAATCAATGAATCCAGGAGCTGGTTTTTTGAAAGGATCAGCAAAATTGATAGGCTGCTAGCAAGACTAATAAAGAAGAAAAGAGAGAAGAATCAAATAGATGCAATAAAAAATGATAAAGGGGATATCACCACCGATCCCACAGAAATACGAACTACCATCAGAGAATACTATAAACACCTCTATGCAAATAAACTAGAAAATCTAGAAGAAACGGATAAATTCCTTGACACATACACCCTCCCAAGACTGAACCAGGAAGAAGTTGAATCTCTGAATAGACCAATAACAGGCTCTGAAATTGAGACAATATTTAATAGCTTACCAACCAAAAAAAGTCCAGGACCAGATGAATTCACAGCCGAATTCTACCAGAGGTACAAGGGAGGAGCTGGTACCATTCCTTCTGAAACTATTCCAATCAATAGAAAAAGAGAGAATCCTCCCTAACTCATTTTATGAGGCCAGTATCATCCTGATACCAAAGCTGGCAGAGACACAACAAATAAAGAGAATTTTAGACCAATATCCCTGATGAACATCAATGCAAAAATCCTCAATAAAATACTGGCAAACCGAATCCAGCAGCACATCAAAAACTTATCCATCATGATCAAGTGGGCTTCATCCCTGTGACGCAAGGCTGGTCCAACATACACAAATCAATAAACATAATCCAGCATATAAACAGAACCAACGACAAAAACCACATGATTATCTCAATAGATGCAGAAAAGGCCTTTGACAAAATTCAACAGCCCTTCATGCTAAAAACTCTCAATAAATTAGGTATTGATGGGATGTATCTCAAAATAAGAGCTATTTATGACAAACCCACAATATCATACTGAATGGGCAAAAACTGGAAGCATTCCCTTTGAAAACTGGCACAAGACAGGGATGCCCTCTCTCACAACTCCTATTCAACATAGTGTTAGAAGTTCTGGCCAGGGCAATCAAGCAGGAGAAAGACATAAAGGGTATTCAATTAGGAAAAGAGGAAGTGAAATTGTCCCTGTTTGCAGATGACATGATTTTGTATCTAGAAAACCCCATCGTCTTAGCCCAAAATCTCCTTAAGCTGATAGGCAACTTCAGCAAAGTCTCAGTATACAAAATCAATGTACAAAAATCACAAGCATTTCTTATACACCAATAACAGACAAACAGAGAGCCAAATCATGAGTGAACTCCCATTCACAATTGCTTCAAAGAGAATAAAATACCTAGGAATTCAACTTGCAAGGGATGTGAAGGACCTCTTCAAGGAGAACTACAAACCACTGCTCAAGGAAATAAAAGAGGATACAAACAAATGGAAGAACATTCCATGCTCATGGGTAGGAAGAATCAATATCGTGAAAATGGCCATACTGCCCAAGGTAATTTATAATTTCAATGCCATCCCCATCAAGCTACCAATGAAAAGCCATATTCTCAAAAGAAGATACACCAATGGCCAACAAACATATGAAAAAATGCTCAGCATCACTAAATATCAGGGAAATGCAAATCAAAACCACAATGCAATACCACCTTCCTCCTGCAAGGATGGCCATAATTAAAAAATCAAAACACAATAGATGTTCTTGTGGATGTAGTGAAAAGGGAACACTTTTACACTGCCAGTCAGAATGTAAATTAATACAACCATTGTGGAAAACAATATGGAGATTCCTTAAAAAACTAAAAGTAGAACTAACATTTGATCCAGCAATCCCATCACTGGATATCTGCCCAGAGGAAAGGAAGTCATTATATGAAAAAGACATTTGCACGTGCATATTTATAGCAGCACAATTTGCAATTGCAAAAATATGGAGCTGGCCCAAATGCCCATCAATTAACAAGTGGATAAAGAAAATGTTGTGTGTACATATATATATATACACACACATATATATGTGTGTGAATATATATGTGTGTATATATATGGTGTGTATATATAGTGTATATATGGTGTGTATATATATATAGTATATTTATGGTGTATACATATGCATATTTGGTTGTGTGTGTGTATATATTTTATATATATATAAAATGACTGAGTGGTATTCCATGGTGTGTGTACCATGGAATACTATTCAGCCATAAAAAGGAGTAAAATAATGGCATTTGCAGCAACCTGGATGGAGTTGAAGATCATTATTCTAAATGAAGTAAATCAGGAATGGAAAATCAAACACCATATGTTCTCACTTATAAGTGGGAGCTAAGCTAGCTACGAGGACACAAAGGCATAATTATGATTTGATGGACCTTGCGGACTCATTGGGAAGGGTGGGAGGGGGGTGAGAGATAAAAGACTGCACATTGGGTATAGTGTATACTGCTCGGGTGATGAGTGCACCAAAATCTCGGATATCATTAGTAAAGAACTTATCCACGTAATCAAACACCACCTGTTCTCCAAGAACCTATTGAAATAAAAAAATAGAATAAAAAAAGATGACACTCTTACATTTTTCTTAAAGTAAATTTCATGGCAACAGTTTTTTGGGATGCCCAAGGCACTCTGCTTTTCAACTTTCAGGAGGACCAAAGAATGATAGCACTCGTGCCAAGGCTGTTGCATGACAACTCCAATGCTATATTAGTTCTGTTATTTTGCTGGCACTAATACAGCTCTTAGGTCCACCACTTAATTAGAACTATTAATTTCATTCATATGATTTTTTGTTAAAATATTACAAAGGGTTGGGTGTTTCTGTATATTTAGGTCTACATCCTGTTTTAAGGTTGCATATCGAATTTTCATAAATTGTTTGTAGAGACCCAACTATAACTTCTGTCCATCTTGTGTTATCTCTTCATCATTTTTAGACCCCCAGCTAACTGTGCCAACTCCTACTACTTTATGACCTTCTTTAATTTCTTCCAATAATCAGAAATTGTAAGGGACTTTTATTTTTCTGGAGTAAAATTGCCTGAATTCAAGTCCTCCTCTACCACTCACTTTTCTGTGTGACTTTAGGCAAGAGACTTGAAACTTTCTTTGGTCTCAGTTTCCCATCTTAAATGGGAGAAAATAATATCAACTTTATAGAGTTTCTGGCAAGGTAAAATATTGTAATAAACTCTTGGCACATGGTGAAACATAAAGACACTAGAAGAGTTGGTACTTACTAAGCCATTATATCCAGCCTTTAATTATTATGACTACACAGTGCAACAACTTCTAGGAGTATCCCCATTTTAGAAATGAGAAAACACAATGGATTCTAATGGAAAGAGTGAAGATTAAAGCACAAGCTTCTTATCTGTTATGTTCATAAATGTCTACTAGCATAGACTCCGTAGTTCTCTAAGGAATTTTTTTATAAACACAATTTACAATAAAGCAAATTCGTGTTTAGTGAGTCCTACAAGCTTGTCTCCCAAATTAAAACTTTTTTTTACTACTTCATGAAAATCATTCTTAAGTGCAACTGGATTTTTTTTTCTTCAAATGCATTGCAGTGAAAAACACGATGACTTGGAATTTGATTTATGATTTGGAATTACTGCCATGATTTATGCTAAGGTGCGTGAAGTTTTACCTACTATTGCTTTTGAGCCATCAATGCAGATGTCAACATAGTGGAAAAGACAAACGACATCTTCATATTATTATGAAAATAATTTTGACCTCATGAACCCCCTGAATATGTCTCAGGTACCCTCAGGGGTTCATTGACCACACTGAGAAACACTGACTGAGCAGCCACCTAAAATCATGCATTTTTACTATATTCCACAAGATGGTGATATTGTAATGTGCATCAGAAATTAAAAGTTGGGTCACAATTGAATAATTTAAAAAAATTGTTCACTTTCAGAAAATTATGTGGGTAAAATATTTCCTTCCTTCCTTCCTTCCTTCCTTCCTTCCTTCCTTCCTTCCTTCCTTCCTTTCTCTCTCTCTCTCTCTTTCTTTCTTTCTTTCTAGAAAATTTACTTGGTGAGCTCTTGAAACACCAAGTCCATCTTTTCTGAGTCCTAACTTTCATCATGGAAACTTGCTTTCTAAATACGGCTTTACCAATGGCTGCCTCCTACAGAAACCTAATGTTAATTTGGAGGATGACATTTTGCAATTGCGGAAACCAACAGGCTCTTGGAACCTTATCATTTAGTGCTTTTTAATTAAGAAAATTTTACCTTCTTCCAAATGACAATTTCACTTTTGTAGTTGCATATCACATGCTCTGGAATTCTATGAATCTTTATTGGAGAAAGGATCCCTCAGTTCTGTGGTTCTTACGCCTTTTATGTTTTGAGTGAAGGAATACAGATCCACTTGTGAATTTGATAAAAGCTGTGGATTCTCATCCCAGAAAAATGTACATGCATCTATGTGAAATTTTGCATACAATTTCACATGGCTCATTGTATTCTGAAGTTATTACTTGGATTAAGAACCTCTGCCTTAGTGGAAGAAACTATTGCCAAACCTCATATAGCCCCTTCAGCTTAGGTTAAAAAAAAAACAGTTGATATTAGAGGAAAGAGATATAAAGTCTTTATATAATCTTACTGCTTTGTCCTTATTACAGACTTTGTCTATACGCTGTAAAATAGTGTTTTCCTCACTTAAACATCCCATGCCTCTTGTTGATAAGAGTACAAATGTCATGCACCCATCAGAATTCTGATATAGATTTTTTGCCAAAAGGGACTTTTCTCTTCACCTCCCGAATTATGCTGTATGTTTTTCATATCCCCCACTAGTCAGGAAGATTTTGCCAGGCTTTATTTTTGTATTTATGTTGCAAAGCAGTGCTACCTTTTTCATTTTTTAGGTATAAAATTATAATATTTAAAATGATAGTTTTTTTTCAAATTATCTGCAAACTACACTACCTTCAGAGCTTTTGACATTTTTTGAAAAGTTCTACCTTCTGAAATTCCTACATTATTAGACTTTCATACATTTAATTTTTGTAGACATTTCTTTTGGACTATTTCCCTATGGCAAATAGTCTAGAAAAGGGAACCTGTAAAGTCACTGATTTAAGATATCTTCTGAAGAATTTTTTTTTTCATAAAAACAATTTTAGAGAGTCTGGAAATGTTTTATTTGCATTTTTTAAATGTATGTATTTTGGCTTAAATATGTAAATAAGAATATGTAATATATGTTTTTCTGCGTGTAGCTTATTTTATTTAACATAATATCTTCCAGTTCATCCATATTTGGCAAATGAAAGACTTTCATTCTTTTATATGACTAAATAATATTCCATTTTGTATCTGTACCACTTTTTTATTCATTTATTCATTGATGAAAACTTAGATGGATCATTAAACATCATGTGCTTATATTGACATGTACACCTAAATATGTATAATTATTATTAATCCATAATAATTATAGATATTTAAAAAACATGAAATGTGTCTATGATTAAATACAGTTAAAACTTATAATTTTCATAAAAATAAAATGTATATTTATGACTGAAACAAAAACTTCAAACACATATATTCATAAGTTTTATGAATCAAATTTAACACCACCTTAACTTGTGATCTTTTTAACTTTGTCATATAAATTAATTATAAATTTGAACTCATAAATTAGATTTATATTAATAAAATGACACTCTCTTTTTGTGTTCTTTTTTGGAAAAGGGTCAGTATATAATTTTGCCTGGTAATAGGATTCTTCTCAGATTATTGCCTTAAACTATTATTTACACCACTGTCACATATTCCTCTCCCCATATAATTGCCCCTTTCATGTTTTCCCATTCTTACTACCATGCTGTCTCACATTTCCCTTCATCTCTCTCATCATACTCCTTCACATTTTCTTTTTTTTAACTTTTAATTTTTTGTGGATTTGTAGTAGGTGTATATAATTGTGGGATATTTTGCAATAGGCATACAATGTGTAATAATCACATCAGAATAAATGGGGTAGCCATCACCCCAAGCATTTATCATTTGTTGTACAATCCAATTATACTCTTTTAGATAATATAAAATGTACATTAAAAATTATTTTAATTACTGTTTTTTAAATTTCGAGGTACATGTGGAGGATGTGCAAGTTTGTTACATAGGTAAACGTGTGCCATGGTAGTTTGCTGCACCGATCAACCCATAACCTGGGTATTAGGCCCAGCATACATTAGCTCTTTTCCCTAGTGCTCTTTCCCCTATGCCCCACCCTCCCCTGACGGGCCCCAGTGTGTGTTTTTCCACTTCCTGTGTCCATGTGTTCTCATTGCTCAGCTCCCAATTATAAGTGAGAACATGGGGTGTTTGGTTTTCTGTTCCTGTGTTAGTTTGCTGAGGATAATGGCTTCCAGCTTCATTATCTCATTCCTTTTTATGGCTGCATAGTCTTCCATGGTGTATATATACCACATTTTCTTTATCCAGTCTATCACTGATGAGCATTTGGATTGATTCCATTTCTTTGCTATTGTGAAGAGTGCTGCAGTGAATATAAGTGTGTATGTATCTTTATAATAGAATGATTTATATTTATTTGGGTATATACCTAGTAATTGTATTGCTGGGTCAGATGGTATTTCCAGTTCTAAATCTTTGAGGAATTGCCATACTGTCTTCCACAATGATTGAACTGATTTACATTCCCACCAACAGTGTAAAAGTATTTCTTTTCTTGGCAACATCACCAGCATCTGTTGTTTCTTAACTTTTTAATAATTGCCATTCTGACTGACATGTGATGATATCTCATTGTGGTTTTGATTTGCATTTATCTACTCATCTGCGATGTTGAGCTTTTTTTCATACATTTGTTGGTTGCATGTATGTCTTTTTTTTTTTTTGAAAAATGTGTTCATGTCCTTTGCCCACATTTTAATGGGGTTATTTTTTTTCCTGTAAATTTGCTTAAGTTCCTCGTAGATTCTGGATATTAGACCTTAGTCAGATGGATAGATTGCAAAAATTTTATCCCAATCTGTAGGTTGTCTGTTCACTCTAATGATAGTTTCTTTTGCTGAGCAGAAGCTCTTCAGTTTAGTTAGATCCTATTTGTCAATTGTTGCTTTTGTTGCAATTGCTTTGGCAATTTTATCACAAAATATTTGCTCATGCCTATGTTTTAAATGGTTTTACTTAGATTTTCTTCTAGGGTTTTTATAGTTTTGTGTTTTACATTTAAGTCATTAATGAAATGAGTTAATTTTTGTATAAGGTATAAGGAAGGGATCTAATTTCAATTTTCTGCATATGGCTAGCCAGTTCTTCCAGTACCATTTGTTAAATAGGGAATCCTTTCCCCATTTCTAGTTTTTGTCAGGTTTGTCCAGGATCAGATGGAGTAGATATGTGGTCTTATTTCTGAATTCTCTATTCTGTTCCATTGGTCTATGTGCCTGTTTTTGTACCAGTGTTATGCTGTTTTTGTTACTGCAGCCTTGTAGTATAGTTTGATATTGGGTAGTGTAATGCCTCCAGCTTTGCTCTTTTTGCTTAGGATTGTCCTGGCTATACAAGCTCTTTTTGGTTCCATATAAATTTTAAAATAGTTTTTTCTAATTCTATTCAGAATGTCAGTGGTGGCTTAATGGGAATAACGTTGAATCTATATATTGCTTTATTGCAATATTGATTCTTCCTATCCATGAGCATGGAATGTTTTTCTATCTGCTTGTGTCCTCTCTGATTTCCTTGAGCAGTGATTTGTGGTTCTCTTTCAAGAGGTCCTTCACTTTTCTTGTTAGCTGTATTCCTAGGTATTTTATTCTCTTTTTGGCAATTGTGAATGGAAGTTCATTCACGATTTGGCTTTCTGCTTGTCTGTTGTTGGTGTATAGAAATTCTTGTGATTTCTGCACATTGATTTTATATCCTGAGACTGCTGGAATTGCTTGTCAGCCTAAGAAGCTTTTGCGCTGAGTCACTTGGATTTTCTAGATACAGGATCATGTCATCTGCAAATAGACAATTTGATTTCCTCTCTTCCTATTTGGATGCCCTTTATTTCTTTCTCTTGCCTAATTGCCGTGGCCAGAACTTCCAATAATATGTTAAATAAAAGTGTTGGGAGAGGGCATCCTTGTTTTGTGCTGGTTTTCAAGGGAAATTCTTCTGGCTTTTGCACAGTCAGGATGATATTGGTTGTGAGTTTGTCATAAATGGCTCTTATTATTTGGAGGTATGTTTCTTAAATATCAGTTTTTTGAGAGTTTTTAACATGAAGAGATGTTGAATTTTATCAAAGGCCTTTTCTGCATCTAGTGAGATTATCAGGTGATTTTCTTTTTGTCTTTAGTTCTGTTTATGTGATGAATTACTTTTATTGATTTGCATATATAGAACCCACCTTGCATCCTGGGGATGAAGCCATCTTGATTGTGATGAACAAGCTTTTTGATGTGCTGCTGGATTCAGTTTGCCAGTATTTTATTGAGGATTTTTGCATCAATGTTTTTCAGGGATATTGGTCTGAAGTTTTCTTTTTTTGGTGTATCTCTGCCAGGTTTTGGTATCAGGATGATGCTTGCTTCATAAAATGAGTTATGGAGGAGTCCCTCCTTTTCAATTTTTTGAAATCATTTCAGAAGAAATGATACCAGCTCCCCTTTTTACCTCTGGTAGAATTCAGCTGTAAGTCCATCTGGCTTGGGTATTTTTTGGTTGGTAGGCTATTTATTACTGCCTCAATTTCATAACTCATTATTGGTCTATTCAGTGATTCAACTTCTTCTTGGTTCAGTATTGAGAGGGTGTATGTGTCCAGGAATTTAACCATTTATTTTAGATTTTCCCACTTGTTTGCATAGAGGTGTTTATAGTATTCTCTGATGGTTGTTTCTATTTCTGTGGGGTCAGTGGTGATATCTTCTTTATTATTTTTATTGTGTTTATTTGAATCTTTCCTCTTTTCCTTTTTATTAGTCTAGCTAGTGGTCTATTTATTTTATTAATTTTTTCAAAAAATGAACTCTTGGATCATTGATTGTTTGGAGGATTTTTTTTTTGTCTCTATCTCCTTCAGTTCCACTCTGAGCTTGGCTATTTCTTGTCTTATGCTAACTTTGGGGTTTGTTTGCTCTTGGTTCTCTAGTTCTTTTAGTTGTGATGTGAGGGTGTTGATTTGAGCTCTTTTTATCTTTTTGATGTGGGCATTTAATGCTATAAATTTTCCTCTTAATGCTGCTTTAGCTGCATCACTGAGATTCTGGTACATTGTCACTTTTTTCTCATTGGTTTCAAAGAACTTGATTTCTGCCTTAATTTCATTATTTGCCTATAAGTCATTCAGGAGCAGATTGTTCAGTTTTCATGTAGTCGTGTGGTTTTGAGTGTGTTTCTTAATCTTGAGATCTAATTTTATTGTGCTGTGATCTGAGAGACTGTTATGATTTCAGTTCTTTTGCATTTGCTGAGGAGTATTTTACTTTCAATTATGTGATTAATTTTAGAGTAAGTGCCAGGTGGTGCTCATCAAAATGTATATTCTGTTGTTTTGGGATGGAGTTCTGTAGATGTTTATCAGATCCACTTGGTCCAGAGCTGAGTTCAAGTTCTGAATCAGTGGGGTATTAAAGTCTCCCACTATTATTGTGTGGGGCACTAAGTCTTTTTGGAGGTTTTTAAGAACTTGTTTTACAAATATGGGTGTTCCTGTATTGTGTGCATATGTACTTAGAATAGGTAGACATTTTGTTTAATTGAACCCTTTACCATTATGTAATGTCCTTCTCTGTTGCTTTTGAACTTTGGTGGTTCAAAGTCTATTTTGTCAGAAGCTAGGATTGCAAACACTACTTTTTCTGATTTCCATTTACTTGGTAAATTTCCTCCTTTTTAAAATTTTGAGCCTATGTGTATCTTCGCATGTGAGATGTGTTGCTTGAATACGGCACACTGATGGGCCTTGTCTTTTTATCCAGCTTGCCATTCTGTGTCTTTTAATTGGGGCATTTCACTGATTTACACTTAAGGTTAATATCGTTTTGTGTGAATTTGATCCTGTCATGATGCTGGCTGGTTAATTTTGCAGACTTGTTAATGTAGTTGGTTGATAGTGTTGTTGGTCTGTGTACTTCAGTGTGTTTTTGTAGTGGCTGTTAACAGTTTTTCCTTTTTATGTTTAGTGCTTCCTTCAGGAGTTCTTGCAAGGCAGGCTTGGTGATGACAAAATCCTTCAGCATTTGCTTGTCTGAAAAATATTTTATTTCCCCTTTACTTATGAAGCTTAGTTTGGCCGGTTATGAAATTCTGAGTTGGAAATTCTCTTCTTTAAGAATGTTGAATATCGGCCCCAAAATCTCTTCTGATTCCTAGGATTTTCACTGAGAGGTCTGCTGTTAGTTTGATGGGCTTTCCTTTGTAGGTGATTTAGCTCTCCTCTCTGACTGCCCTTAACATTTTTTTCCTTCATTTCAACCTTGGAGAATCTGATGATTATGTGTTTTGAAGTAGATCTTCTCGTGGAGTATCTTATTGGGGTTTTCTGAATTTCCTGAATTTGAATGTTGGCCTGTCTTGCTAGGTTGACGACGTTCTCCTGGATGATATCCTGAAGTGGTTTTTCAACTTTGTTCCATTCTCCCCATGTCTTTCAGTTACTCCAATCAGTTGTAGGTTTTGTCTTTTTACAGAGTCCCATAGTTCTTGAAGGTTTTGTTTGTTCCTTTTCATTCTTTTTTCTTTAATCTTGTCTGCCTGCCTTATTTCAGCAAGACATTCTTCAAGCTCTGATATTCTCTCTTCTGCTTGGTCGATTCAGCTATTGATATACGTGTTTGCATCATGAGGTTCTCGTGCTGTATTTTTCAGCTCCATCAGGTCATTTATATTCCTCCTGTAATCTTTTATCATAGTTCTTAGCTTCTTTTTATTGGGTTAGAAGAGAATTCTTTAGCTCAGTGAAGTTTGTTATTACCCACTTTCTGAAACCTATTTCTGTCAGTTCATCCATCTCAGCTTCAGCCCTGTTCTGTGCCCTTGCTGGAGAAGTCTTGTGATCATTTGGAGTAGAAGAGGATTTCTGGCTTTTGGAATTTTCAATGTTTTTGAATTTTTTTAAATATCTTCGTGGATTTATCTGCCTTTGATCTTTAAGGCTGTTGAACTTTGAATGGGGTTTTGTGGGGTCTTTTTTGATGATGTTGTAATTGTTGCTTTCTCTTTGTTTGTCTTTTAACAGTCAGGCCCCTCTTCTGCAGGTCTGCTGCAGTTTGCTGTGGGTCCACTCCCGACCCTGTTTACTTGGGCATCACCAGTGGAGGCTGCAGAACAACAAAGATTGCTGTCTCCTCCTTCCTCAAGAAGCATTGTCCCAGAGGGGCACCGACTTGAGGCCAGCCAGAACTCTCCTGTATGACGTGTCTAGCGACCCCTGTTGGGAGGTCTCACCCAGTCAGGAGGCATGGGATCACGGACCCATTTAAGGAAGCAGTCTGACTGTCCCTTAGCGGAGCTGTTGCACTGTGCTGGTGGAATCCCCCTCCTCCAGATTGCCTGGACTCTTCAGAGCCAGCAGGCAGGAAATATTAAGTCCACTGAGTCTGAGACCATGGCCACCCCTCTCCCCAGGTGTTCTGCCCCAGGGAGATAAGAGTTCTGTGTGTAAGCCCCCTGTCTGGAGTTGCCGAAATTCCTGCAGGGAGGCCCTGCCCAGTGAGGATGGATCTGGGTCCCACCTAAAGAAGCAGTCTCGCCACTATCTGCCACAGCCTTTGTGCTGCACTGTGAGGAGTACCATTCAGTCCAAACCTCCCAGTATCTCTAGCACTGACCAGGGAAAACCACCGACTAGAACCTCAGTAATGGTGGTCCGCTCTTCCACCAGGAGCTCGGTCATCTTGGGCAGACTTTAGGCTGCTGTGTTGGCCAGTGGGGATTCCAAGCCAGTGGATCTTAGCTTGTGGGGTTCCATGGGAGTGGGACCCACTGAGGGAGGCCGTTTGGCTGCCTGGCTTCAGTCTCCTTTCCATGGGGGTGAAAGGTTCTCCTGCCTCACTGGAGTTCCAGGCACCATCGGAGCACATAAAAACTCCTGCAACTAAATGCCTGCCCAAGCAGCTGCTGTGGGTCTGCCCACTTTTGTGCTTGAGACCCAAGGCCCTGGTGGTGTAGGCTCATGAGGAAATCTGATCCACGGATTGCAAAAATCCGTGGGAAAAATGTAGTATCCCGGTTAGGTAACACAGCCCCTCACCACCTCCCTTGGCTGGGAGAGGGAGGTCCCATTGTCCTGTACAGCTCGCAGGTGAACCGTCACCCCATCCTGCTTTTCCTTGCTCTATATGTGTCACGCCAACCACCTAGTCAGTCCCAATGAGATGAACTGGGTACCTCAGTTGGTAATGCAGAAATTACTTGTCTTCTGTGTTTGTCTGGCCGGGAGCTGTAGACCAGAGCTATTTCTCCTAGGCCATCTTCCCCTACCCCCTTGACTTTTTCCAATTAAATTATTATTCACTATACTCATCCTGTTGTGCTATCAAACACTATCTTATTCATTCTTTATAACTATTCTCTGTACCCGTTAATCATCCCCACTCCCCATCACCTCCTGTTCCTCTTCCCAGTCTCTGGTAACCATCCTTCTACTATCTATCTATATGAGTTCAAATGTTTAAATTTGTGGTTCCCACAAATTAGTGAGAATATGTAAAGTTTGTCTTTATGTGCCTAGCTTATTTCACTTAATATAATGACCTCAAGTTTCATCCAGGCTGTTGCAAATGACAGAATCTCATTCCTTTTTATTGCTGAAGAGTACTCCATTGTGTATATGTACCACATTTTTAAATCCATTCATCTGTTTATGAATACTTGGGATGCTTCCAGATCTTGGCTATTGTGAATAGTGCTACAGTATACATGGGAGGGCAGGTGTCCCTTTGATATACTGATTTCCTTTCTTTCATATATATTCCTGTTAATGGAATTTCTGGATCATATGGTAGTTCTATTTTTAGTTTTTTGAGAAATCTCCAAACTATTCTTCATAGTAGTTGTACTAACTTACATTCCCACCAACAGTGTACAAAGGTTTCCTATTCTCCACATCCTTGCCAACATTTGTTATTGCCTGACTTTTGGATAAAAGCCATTTTAACTGGGGTGAGATGATATCTCATGGTAGTTTTGATTTACATTTCTCTGATGGTCAATGATGTTGAGCACCTTTTTATATGCCTGTTTGCCATCTGTATGTCTTCTTTTGAGAAATGTCTTTTCAAATCATTGGCATATTTTAAAATCAGACAATTAGATATTTTTTCCTATAGAGTTGGTTGATGTCTGTAGTAGTCCATTCTCAAACTGCTATGAAGAATACCTGAGACTGGGTAATTTATAAAGGAAAGAGATTTAATTGACTCACAGTTCCACATGGCTGGGGAGGTCTCTGGAAACTTACAATCATGGCAGAAGGTGAAGGGGAAGCAGGGCACATCTTCTCATGGTGGCAGCAGCAGGGTAGGGGGTGGGGGAACTGCCAAACACTTTTAAAACCATCAGAACATATGAGAACTCACTCACTATTATGAGAACAGAATAGAGGAAACAGCCCCCATGATCCAGTCACCTCCCACCAGGCCCCTTCCTCAACAGGTTGGGATTACAATTTGAGATGAGATTTGGGTAGAGACATAGAGCCAAGCCATATCAACCTCTTTATATATATTCTGATTTTTAACCCCTTGTCAGATGGATAACTTGCAAATACTTTTTCCCATTATGTGAGTTGTCTATTTACTTTATTGATTCTTTAATTTGCTATGCAGAAGCTCTTTAACTTTGTGTGATTCTGGTTGGACATTTTTGCTCTTGTTGCCTGTGCTGGTGAAGTATTACTCAATAAATCTTCGCACAGTCCAATTTCTGGCGAGTTTTCCAAGTGTTTTGTTTCAGTAGTTTCATAGATTTAAGTCTCTAATACATTTTTATTTGATTTTTCATATGGTGAGAGACAGGGTCTAGTTTCATTATTATGCATATGTTTCTCTAGTTTGTCCAGAACCATTTATTAAATAGACTGCTCTTTCCTCAATGTATGTTTTTGGCACCTATGTTGAAAACGAGTTCACTGTAGATATATGAATTTATCTCTGGTTCTCTATTCTTTTTTTTTAAATTGTGGGTACATAGTAGGTGTATATATTTAGAAGATACACTGTATGTTTGGATACAGGCATGCAATTTGAAATAAGCACATCATGGAGAATGGGCTATCTGTTCTCTCAAGCATTTATCCTTTGAGTTACAAACAATCCAGTTACTATCTTGTGGTTTTATTTTTTCTTTTTTAATAATTTTATTTCAATAATTTTTTGAAAACAGGTGGTTTTGGGTTACATGAATAAGCTCTTTAGGGATGATTTCTGAGATTTTGGTCCACCCATTACCTAATCAGTGTACACTCTACCCAATATGTAGTCTCTTATCTCTCACCCTCCTTCCACTCTTCCCTGAGTCTCCAAAGTCCATTATATGCTTTGCATTCTCATGGAAGTAGCTCCCACTTATAAGTGAGAACATGCAATATTTGGTTTTCTATTCTTGAGTTACTTCACTTGGAATAATGGTCTCCAATTCCATCCAAATTTCTGCAAATGCTATTGTCTTATTCCATTTTATGGCTGGGTAGCATTCCATGGTGTATATATACCATATTTTCTTTATCCACTTGTTGGTTTTGGGTTGGTTTCATATTTTTGTAATTGTGCTGCTTTAGACATGTGTGTGCAAGTGTCTCTTTCATATAATGACTTATTTTTCTTTTGGTAGATACCCAGTGAGGGGATTGCTGGATCAAATGTTACATCTACTTTTAGTTATTTAATAAATTTCCATAGTGTTTTCTGTAGTGGTTGTACTCGTTTACATTCCACCAGCAGTGTAAAAGTGTTTCCTTTTCACCATGTCCACATCAACATTTATTATTTTTTGATTTAAGAAAGTATGGCCATTCTTGCAGGAGTGAGGTTCTATCACACTGTGGTTTTAATTTGCATTTTTCTGATAATTAGTGATGTTGAGTTTTTTTTATACCCTTGTTGTGTGTATATCTTTTGACAATTGTGTATTCATGTCCTTTGCCCACTTTTTGATGGAATTATTTTTTTCCTTGATGATTTGTTTGAATTCCTTGTAGATTCTGAATATTAGTTGTTTGTTGGATGTATAGCTCATGAAGATTTTCTCCCACTCTGTGGGTTGTCTGTTAACTCTGCTAATTATTTGTTTTGCTGTGCAGAAGCTTTTTAGTTAAATAAGTCCCATCTATTTATTTTTGTTTTTGTTACATTTGCTTTTGGGCTCCTGGTCATGAATTCTTTGCCTATGCCAATGTCTAGAAGAGTTTTTCTGATATCATCTTGTAGAATTTTTATAATTTCAGGTCTTATATTTAGGTCTGTGATCCATCTTGAGTTGATTTTTTATATGGTGAGAGATGAGGATCCAGCATCATTCTTCTAAATGTGGCTTGCCAATTATCTCAGCAGCATTTGTTGAATAGGGTGTTCTTTCTCCAGTTTATGGTTTATTTATTTATTTATGTATTGCTTTGTTGAAGATCAGTTGGTTGTAAGTATCTGGCTTTATTTCTTGGTTCTATATTATGTTCCATTGGTCTACATGACTCTTTTAATGCCAGTACCTTACTCTTTTGGTAACTATAGCCTTGTAGTATAGTTTGAAGTTGGGTAATGTGATGCCTCCAGATTTATTCTTTTTGTTTAGTATTGAACTCTGAACAGACCAATAACAAACAGCGAGATAGAATCAGTAATAAAAAAATTGCCAAAAACAAAAAGCCCAGGACCAGACAGATACACCAGTGAATTCTATTAGAAATTCAAAGAAGAATTGGTACCAATTCTACTGAAACTGTTTCAAAAGATAGAGAAAGAGAGAATCCTCCTTAAATTATTCTATGAAGCCAGTATCAACCTAACACCAAAGCCAGGAAAATACGTGACAAAAAGGAAAAGTACAGACAAATATCCCTCATGAACATAGATGCAAAAATCCACAACAAAAATACTGGCTAACCAAATTCAGCAATATATTAAAAAGATAATACATCATGATCAAGTGGGTTTTATACCAGGGATGCAGGGATGGTTTTATATACTCAAATCAATAAATGTAATGCATTACATTAACAGAATTAAAAACAAGAATTATATGATCATCTCAATAGATGCAGAAAAAGCATTTGACAAAATCGAGCATCCTTTATGATAAAATCTCTCAACAAAATTGGCACAGAAGGGACACAACTCAAAGTAATAAAAGCCATCTATGACAAACCGACAGCACTGAATGGGGAAGAGCCAAAAGCATTGCCCCTGAGCACTAGAATAAGAGAAGGATGCCCATTTTTATCACTTCTATTAAACATAGTACTGGAAGTCCTAGCCAGAGCAATCAGACAAGAGAAAAAAGTAAAGGAAATCCAAATTGAAAAAGAGGAAGTCAAAGTGTCAATGTTTGCTGATAATATGATTGCATACCTAGAAAACCCTAAAGACTCCTTTAAAAAGCTCTTAGATCTGATAAATAAATTCAGTAAAGTTTCAGGATATAAAATCAATGTACACAAACCAGTAGCACTGCCATACACCAACAACGACCAGCTGAGAATCAAATCAAGAACTCCATCCCTTTTACAACAGCTGCAGAAAAATAAAATACTTAGGAATATACTTAGCTAAGGAAGTGAAAGATCTTTATGAGGAAAACTAAAAAACACTGCTGAAAAAAATCACAGATGACACAAACAAATGGAAACGCATCTCATGCTCATGAACAGGTAGAATCAATTTTGTTAAAATGGCCATACTTCCCATACCAATTTACAAATTAATGCAATTCCCATGAAAATACCATCATCATTCTTCACAGAACAAGAATAAAACAATCCTAAAATTCATGTGAAACCCAAAAGAGCCTGCATAGCCTAAACAATACTAAGCAATTGCATTCTTTAAGCTATTTAAAGATATATAATAAAGTTATTACAGACTGTGTAGTCACTCTTGTGCTATCAATAGTAAGCCTTATTTATTCTTTCTATATTTTTTGTACCCATTAACCATCCCCACCTACCCTTCAGCCCGCTACTACTCTTCTCAGCCTTTGGTATCCATCCTTCTACTCTCCATGTTCATGAGTCTGTTTTTATTTTTATTAGAACTGATAAACAAATTCAGTAAAGTTGCAGGATACAAAATCAACATACAAAAATCAGTAGCATTTCTATATGCCAGCAGTGAACAATGTGAAAAAGAAATTAAAAAGTAATCCCATTTATAATAACCACATGTAAAATTAAATACCTAGAAATTAACTTAACCAAGGTGAAATATCTTTACAATGAAAACTATAAAACCCTAATGAAGGAAATGACCAAAAAATGAGTTTTCTATTTTGTTCCACTGATCTGTGCATATGGTTTTATGCCAGTACCATGCTGTTGTGGTTACTGTTGCTCTGTAGTATGATTTGAACTCAGGTGATTTCTCCAGTTTTGTTCTTTTTGCTCAGAATAGCTTTAGCTTTTCAGGGTCTTTTGTGGCTCCACATAAGTTTTATAGTTGCCTTTTCTCTTTCTGTGATGAATGTCCTTGATATTTTGATAAAGACTGCACTGTACCTATAGATTGCTTTGGGCAATATGAACTTTTTAACAATACTGATTATTTCAATTTATGAACATAAAATATCTTTCCATCTTTGTCCTCTTACATTTCTTTCATCAGTAAATTATAGTTTAATTGTACAGGTATTTTAAGTATTTGATTAAGTTATTTCATAGATATTTAATTTTACTTGTAGCTATTGTAAATGGGATTACTTTCTTGATTTCTTTTTCAGATTGTTTGCTTTTGGCATATTAAAAATGTTGTCAATTTTTGTTTGTTCATTTTGTATTCTGTAACTTCCTTGAATTTGCTTATTAGTTTTAATTTTTTGCTGGCATCATTAGATTTTTTCAAACATAAGATCCTATAATCTGCAAACAGGAATAATTTGACTTCTTTTCCAGTCTGGATGCCCTTTATTTTTCTCCCTTTCTGATTGCTCAAGCTATGACTTCCAGTCCTATGTTAAATAACAATGGTGATAGTGGTTATCTTTGTCATGTTCCCTATCTTAGTGGAAAAGCTTTCAGTTTTTCCCCAATCAGTATGATACTAACTGTGGGCCATTGTATATGACTTTTATTTTGTTGATGTAAGCTCCTTCTATACCCAGTTTTTTGAGGTTTTCTTTTTCAATCATAAAGAAATGTTCAATATTATCAAATGGTTTTTCAGCATCAATTGAAATGATCATGTGGTTTTTTTCCTTCATTGTGTTGATATATCACATTAATTAATTTGCATATATGGAACCATCCTTGAATCCCTGGGATAAATCTCACTTGGTTATGATGAATGTTCTTTTTAATGTGTTGTTGAATTCAGTTTGCTACTATTTTGTTGAGAATTCTTGCATCAATGTTCATCAGAGATTTTGGCTTTTTTTTTGATAAGTGTTTGGTTTTGTTATCAGGGTAATACTGATCTTGTAGAATGAGTTTGGAATTATTCCATTTACCTCTATTTTTTGGAATAATTGGAGTAGAATTGGTATTATTTATTTAAATGTTTCATAAAATTCAGCAGTGATGACATTGTGTCCCAGGCTTTTGTTTGCTGGGAGACTTTTCATTATGATTTCAATCTTTTTACTAGTTACTGTTCTATTTATGTTTTGGATTTCTTCATGGTTCAATCTTGGTAGATTTTATGTGTCTGGAAATTTACCTATTTCTTCTAGGTTTTCCAATGTGTTGGCACATAGTTGCTCATAGTAACCTCTATAAACCTTTGAGTTTCTGCAGAATTGGTTGCAATGTCTCTCTTTTAATCTCTGATTTTATTTATTTTGTCTTCTGTCTTTTTCTTCTCAGTCTGGTTAAAATGTTTTATTATTTTTATCTTTTGAAAATACTTTTTGTTTTGTTAATCTTCGTATTATTTTCTCAATTTTAATTTTCTTTATTTCTTCTTTGATCTTTATTTCTTTTCTCCTATGAATTTTCTCTTTCTGTTTTCATTGACCCACTGGTCATTCAGGAGAATATTGTTTAAATTCCATGTGATTATATAGTTTCCAAAATTATTCTTATTATAGATTTCTAGTTTTATTCCATTGTGGTCAGAGTAGATGCTAAATATTATTTAATATTTTGGATGTTTTAATACTTGTTTTGTGGCCTAACATAATAGTTTATCTTTGAAAATAATCCATGTGTTGAGAAGAATGTGTATTCAACACCCATTATATGAAATGTAAGTCTTTCTACATCTATCTCTTTCTTTACCTTCTCTTTAAGTCCAATACCTCTTAGATTTGCCCTTTTAAAAATCTACTAGGCGTGCCTCATTTTTTTTTGTTTCCTTTGTGTAGTTTTAAATAGCCTGTCTTAAAGCTCACTAATTATTTATTCTGCTTGATCAGTTCTGCTATTAGGAGACTCCGATGCATCTTTCGGTGTGTCACCCACATTTTTCACCTCTAGAATTTCTGCTTGATTCGTTTTAATTATTTAAATTCCCATGTTCGATTTATCTCCTGGAATTCTAAACTTCTTCTCTGTGTAATTTTGAATTTCTTTGAGTTTCCTGAAGACAGCTATTTTGAATTCTCTGCCTGAAGAGTCACCATATCTATGTCTCCCCAAGGTTTGTCCCTGGTGCTTTATTTAGTTTATTTTCTGAGGTTATGTTTTCCTGGATGGTCTTGATGCTTATGAATATTTGGTGATTTGGGGGCATTGAATAATTAGGTATTTATTGTAGTCCTCAAAGTCTAGGCTTGTTTGTACTCATTCTTCTTGGGAAGGCTTTCCAGGTATTTGAAGGGACTTAGGTGTTGTGATTTAAGTTTTTGGGCACTATATCTGTATTTCCATTAGTGGCACCCCAAGCCCAGTAACATCATATTTCTTGAAGATTTGTACAGGGACCACCTTGGTGGTCTTAGATAAGATCTGGAAGAATTTCCTGGATTTCCAAGAACAGACTTTTATTCACTTTCCTCACTTTCTCCCAAACAAACAGAGTCTCACTCTCTTTGCTGAGCTGCCTGGAGCTGGGGTGAGGGATAACACAAACATCCCTGTGGCCACCCCCACTTGGACTGTGCTGGGTCTGATCTGAAGCCTATACAGTACTGGACCTTGCCCGAGGCCTGCTGTAACTACTACCTGGCTACCACCTATGTTTGTCCAGGGACCTAGGAGTCTACAAATACCAGGTGGTTAAGCCAGTTAATCTTGTGTCCTTCCCTCCAGGAAAGCAAGTTCTTCTAGGCCCCTGACAGGTCCAGAATTGCCATCTGGGAGCTACTGCCTAGAGTCAGAAACCTTTGATTTTACCTGGTGCTCTATTCTATTTTGGCTAAGCTGGCACTGAAACCACACGACAAAGTTTTTCTCAGTCTTTCCTCCCATTTCCTCAGGCAGGGGTGTTTCTCACCTCTTCCACCACTACCACCAGTCCACAGGAAGTACTGCCAATGTTTCCTTAAAGCCCAAGGGCTTGTCAAGCAGTTTTTGCTAGGTCTGTGACTCACCTTCACAGCAGCAGCAGTGGTCTCCCCTCTTGCCCAGGGAAAGTCCAGAAATGCCATCCAAGATCAAAGATGTGGAATTGAGTACCCCAAGAGCGCACTTGGTGCTCTTTCCCAGTGTGGCAATGCTAGCGCCTAAGTTGCAAGAAAAAGTTGCCTTTATACTTCCTTCTCCTTTTCTCAAGCAGAAGGAGTCTATCCATCTTCATAGCCATCACAGCTGTGAATATGCTTGGTTACTCCTTATTCCAGCATCTCTCTGAGTCTCACCCAAGGCCCATGACATGTATTCTCTTGTTATCGGTGCTGATTATTCAAGGTCCAATGAGGGCTTTAATCAGCAGGTAACAAATCCTGTCAACTCGGTCCTTCCTTTCAAGAGAGCAGATTCCCTTCAATTTCAAGGTGTGTCTAGAAATGTCATCCAGGAGTTAGGGCTGGGAATTGGGGCCTCCTGTCTCTGCTTAGTGCCCTATTCTATTGTGGCTGAACTGGAATCCAAGTTGCAAAACAAAGTCCACTTCACTCTTCCCTCTCCTCTCAAGCCGAAGGAAGGGTTTGCTTTTGGAGCTGATGGCTGCACCTGGAGTTTGGGGAGGGATGATGTAAGCACTCCCTTAGCTGCCCTGGATAGTGTCTCGCTAGGTCATGTGACTCCCCTAGTCCAGCGCAGCACTATGAATTGCTTAGGAATTGCAGTCCTTCTGGCCTAGACAGCTTTTTAAGTTCATTTAGGATCCTAGAGTGCTTTAGCTCACAGCGGTGAGGCTTACCAAAACTCAGGTTTCAACTGCTAGGATGAGCAATTCCCCTTTGTATAGGGCTGGTCTAAATGCTCCCTCCACAGGCATCAGCTGAGTTCTTCCCAATGTTGTTAGCACTGCATTGCAATGTAAAGTTCCACATTCATTTTGCTCACCCTCCCCCAAATGCACAGATTCTCTCTCCATGCCATGAGGCCACTGACACCAGGTCGGGGGGTGGGTGGTGTTGGCAATTCAAGACTGTCCTTCCTACCCTCTTCAGTGCCTCTTTCAGTGATATGAAGTTAAAATCAGGTACTGCAATCTCTCATCTGATTTTTGGTTTTCATGAAGGTGCTTTTTGAATAGGTGGTTATAAAAAAAATTGTATTCCTGCAGGGAGGATGATCAGTGGAGGCTTCTATTTGGCCATCTTGCTCTACCTCATTCTGCATTTTCTTGTATGTACATTTTACTATTCATTTACCCCCATATATTCTGCCTGCCTGAAAGAGGCTCTATGGCTTCCTTCTTCAGTCAGCCCTCTTAGTAACCTAATTTCTCTCAGACTTCAGCATTTTTGTTCTCCTCTCTCAGCAGTGCTGCTTTCTCAGGCTTTTTCCATGTACCACCTGTTTTGACAGCTGGGGACTAAGATTAACTGAGGGGAGTGTGGTGTTGCTGGAAGAGGCTGAGTACACATAGATCTTTGGCCTAAGTCCAGTCAGCATGGCTGTAACTAACCAGATACCACCAACCCAACACCTTGTAGCCTAAAGTTTACTCAGCGATAAATAACAGCTTGGGAGCCTGGCAATGTAATCCAGCGGAAGAAACATTGGAGTGGCCTTAATCTCTTAAGTCTCTTTTCTGCAAGCTTCAGTTGAGACAAAGATTTCATATGTGACTTTTGACAAATCACTTTCCTTTCTGCACTTCAGTTTCCCCATCATGTATACAGAATTTTTAAAACTTGGAGTCAACTTGACCTGATGTCAAATTGGCTCTTCTATAAGTTGCGTGATCTTAGCTCCAACATTTTATAATTAAGTGCGGACAACAAAGAGCAAGGCCCAGGGGTACTGATACTAACAAGAAGTCCTGGGGGTTGAGAGTAGGTTAGTATCAGGAGAGAGAGAAAAAAAACCTGGAACAAATATCACCAGAAAATACGTGGTGAAATGACAATAGACGTGGGAGAATAAAGGGCTGTGGATAAGAATGGACTAGGACAACCTAGCACCAAAACCAACATTTTATTGCTTTGTGGTGTTGTTCTGGCCTATGATAATACTTTATTATCCAGAGCCTTGCAACATCTCACCAGACTTCTTACTGCTATCTTCCCTGCCCAACCACCACCTGTTTCCGCAATTCCTTCTGCACATGACTTCAAGGTTTGATTTCCTGAAGTACAACCTCATTCATGTCAAACACTTCCTTAACAATATCAGCCTTTGGCTTTTTATTGCTTACAGAAAAAAATACACCCTTTCACCTTGCATTCAAAGTCCTTCATGATCTGCTCTCAACTAGTTTCTGAATTGTAGACACTTCTACCCTACAAGTATTGAATTAACAAGTGACATTGGATTCTTTTTCCTTCAGCATGTAGTGCCTATGCTCACTTTAGTGAAAAATCCTGTTCACCCTTTGTGGTCCATTTCAAATGGCCTTGTGGTGCTCTACTCTCTTCTGCATCTTTGGAGTACTTTGCTAGTACTCTTTAATAGGCAGTTTCCTTATTTTGACGTGTGTCTTTTGATATTTCTATTTTAGACTTCTCTTGCTTAGGTGTATATTTCCGGAGGGTAGTAGCTTTATATAATTCATATCTGCATTTATTTCCTCCATTCAGCCCCTACAGCTGTGCCTAGTATAATGCTATGTACATTGTGACTCAACAAATACTTATTGAAACAAATTTACTGTTTTGAATATCTGTTCCCTCCCAACTCAATTCTTATTTGTTCTGTTTTCTAAGTAATAGAAAAGGATTTTGAGCAATAAGACTTTTAGGAAGCTATTATCTGGAAGGGTACTTGGATAGCAGTTCTAAGAGTATATTCCAGCTTTAGCCTGATTTTGATCCCTGTTGAAACCTGCAAATCCCTTAATATACTGTGGATAACTAAGAGAAGTGTTGGAAAACAACTGAAATAGAGTTTACTGAGTTACAGCAAAGTCTATTGGAATTAGAATTAGGACAAAAACCATGACTTGCTTTCAGCTGTTTTATATATTTCCCCTTCTATTCTTCCCACACCTAGGTTCTAGGACCTCCACACAACAAGCCTGCCTATTGAAAGATGACAGGCTGATAGGGTTCCAGAGGTCGTGTCTATGCTGTACCTTTCACTGTACCATTATTCCAAAGGAAATCGTAGTACATGTTATTCCTACACTTCTATTCTAGAGCAGAGTAAACAGTTTTATTTGGGACAACTGATAACATATTCTAAAATATGGAGAGGTAGAAATTACGTGTGTGGTCACCTGTATTAACCGCATTATCTACTTAATAGAGAATTCTGTTGTGTGTTAAGAAAAGCAGATGAATCTCAGGAAGAATAGTGAGCTTTGTGGAACTATAACTTGCCCTATTTTCACTCTCTGCTTCTATCTCTGCAGCAGCTATGAAAATCAGCAACTCAAAATTAGGGTAAAAACCAGCAGCCTGGCAGCCACTAGAAATGGAAGTTTGGAGATGGAGCTCTTTTAACTTTCATTTTCAGAGGATTTTTACTATTCAACTTGTGTGATGGTTCGCTGGAAGACACCCCTTTGGAAGACTATATTTGACTTGACTCAAGAGTTTATTCAGTGGAAAAAAGCCCCTCCCCTCAGGGACATTTGTTGAAAACACTTACAGACAATGGTTTAACTTCACAGGTGTATGCAGCAGTGGATAACAGAAGGAAAAGCCAATAAGATAACCAAACATCTTAAAAAGAAAATCTGGAGAATGACATGTCTGTAGAGGCTTTGAAAAACTCTAACATATTTCTGAGAATCTAGGAGGCCACATGCATCCTTTGGGCTGTGTGCATGACCAGGATGTTGTGCATACTCAGAGAAGACCCAAGTGTTCTACTTTAACACTTATGGCATACTTTGACACTTGTGCAAGCAGGAAGTGAAGAAGTTGTGCCTTCACACATGCACGCACACACACACACACACACACACACAAACAGTCTCTTGAAAAGACTGGAGGACTTATTGGTTTAATATATTTAAGGAAATCTGTTTTCAGTCATTAGCTGATTATTAAGCTAATTGAGCAGAGACTTCAGTGACCATGCAAGACAAAGAATACAGACCTTACAAAATTAGTTTCAAAAAGTCAGAAAATAAACAAGCATAAACAACAATAATCTCCAGGGAAGGAGCAGGAGAATCTAACATCCAAAAATTAAACATAATATTATTTAAAATGTTCTTTTTCCCAGATAAAAATATAAGACATGCAAAGATATAAGAAAGTATGGCTTATACACAGTTAAAAATATATCTTTCCCCTGAGGAAGTCCAGATGTTGGACTCATATGACAAAGATTTTAATTTAGCTATTATGGGTATGTTCAAACAACTAAAGAAAAATATGTTTAAATAACTAAATGAAATAATTATAATGTTATTTTACCATACAGAAAATACAAATAAAGCAGAAATTGTCTATCAAGAAGTAGAAATTTTGAAATTGAAAAGTACAATGACTGACATGAAAAATCCACTACAGTGGTTCAGCAGCAGATTTGAGGAGCAAGAAGAGAGAATCAGCATACTTGAAGATAGGTCAAATAAAATTATTCAGATTGAAGTACAGAAAGAATAAAGAATGTAAAGAATGAAGGAAAATGAACAAAGTCTGAGATACCCATTGGACATAATCAAATGCACCAATATATGTATAATGTGACTTCCAGATGTAGAGGAGGGAGACAAAGAAGAATGCAAAATATTTGAATGGATTATGGTAAAAAATCCGAACTTTGATGAAAAACATTGATCTGTACATTCGAGAAGAACAATGAACTCCAAGTAGCATGAACTCAAAGGCAGCCACACCTAGATATGGCACAATAACAGTGTTAAAATTCAGTGATAAAGAGAATCTTGAAAGCAGCTTGTGAGAAGATTTTTATTATGTATGAAAGGATCTTCAAAATAAGATAGTGAGAAATTATAAAGGCCAGAAGGCAATGGGGTAACACATTTAAAGTGTTAAAATAAAATAATTATAAACCAATAATTCTATGTCAAGAAAAAGAGCTCTTCAGAAATGCAAGAGAAATTAAGATATTCATTTTGTTTATTAACAAAAATAAAATCTCTAGAAGGCCTTACCTACAATAAATATAAAAAGAGTCTTTAGATTAAGATGAATCAATGCTACAAAGCAACTTGAATCCCCATGTAGAAATAAATAGCACTGATAATGGTGACTACATAAATAATTATAAGTGATGGTATAAATGTATTGAAAGACAGCTGCATAAAGCAAGAATTTTAAATCTGTTTAATGGGTATGTAATGTGTACAGATATAATTTACATTACAATGATGGCACAAAGGAATGGTAAATAATGGAGTTCTATATAATGAAAATGTTTTGTATACTATTGAATTAAGTTGGAATTAATATGAACTAGATTCTGATAATATGTAAAATTGAATCCCTATGCACATCACAGATAAAACAAATTTAAAAATATGGTAGGAGAGGCAGAACAAGAGCAAGATGGCAGAATAGAAGGCTCCATTGATTGTCCCGCTGCACAAGGACACCAATTTAACAACTATCTACAGAGTGAAAACACGTTTATACTAACCAAAAATTACATGAGGCCTCAAATTACGTGGTTTTAACTTTGTATCACTGAGAGAGGCACTGAAAAGGTAGAAAAAAACCATCTTGAATTGCTGATGTCTCCCCTCCCCTACTCTCCAGCAGTGGCAACCTGGTGCAGAGTGTGTCTCTGGGTGCTGGGGAAGGGAGAACATAAGTGCTATCCTGTTAGAGCAGAAAGGAAATCTGGACCAAACTCAGCTGATGCCTATCCACAGCGGGAGCATGTAAATCAGCCCTAGCCAGAGAAAAATCACTGATCCCAGCCTCTGAACTTGAGTTCCTGCAAACCTTGCCACTGAAGGCTAAAGTCCTCTGTGTCTCTAACTAAACTTGAAATGCAGTCTAGGCCATAGGGACTGCAGCTCTTAAATGAATTCTAGTGCTGAACTGGGCCCAGAGACAGTGGATGTAGGAGTTGGGGCATGTGACCTAATGAGATATCAGCTGGGGCAGCTAAGAGAGTGCTGGGAGCACTCCTTTCTTAACCCCAGACTGCACAGCTCATAGTTCCAAGAGACCTCTTTCTTCTGTTTTGGGACAGGAGAGGAAGGAGTGGAAAGGACTTTGTCTTGCATCTTGGATACCAGCTCAGCCACAGTAGAATAGAATAGTGAGCCCCCCATTCCAGGCCCTAGATCCCAGATCACATTTCCATACACACGCTGAGTCAGAAGGGAACCTGCTGCCTTAAAGGGAGTAAACTATTCCTGGCAGCACTCATCACCTGCTAATTGGGAACTGAATAACCAGCAGCGATACTAAGGTACCACACTGTGGGCCTTGGGTAAGCCTCTGAGTCTTACTGGCTTTAGGTGATACTCAGCACATTACCAGCTATGGTGGTTATGGGGTAAAACTCCTTCTGCTTGATAAAAGCAGAGGGAAAAGCAAAGGGAACTTTGTCTTGCACTGTAGGTATCAGCTCGGCCATAGTCGTGTAGAGAATCAAGTGAGGTTTTGGGATTTCTGATTTCAGGACTTGACTTTTGAATGGCATTTCTGAGCCTGCTCTGGGTAAGAGTGGAGCCCATTTCCCTGAAGGGTGAGTCTTAGGCTAGGAAACATTAATCACAAGCTGACTTAAGAGACTTTGGGTCTTAAGGGAAAATCACCAGTAGTCTGGCAGTACACCTTGTTGCCTTTGATGGCAGTGGCTATGGTGTGAGGCTTCTCTGCCTTTGAAAATGGGAAGAAGAGTGAGAAGAACTGTGTCTTATGATTTGAGTGCCAGCTCAGCCACAGTACCATTGAACACTGGGTAGTCTTCTAAGGTTGTGACTCTAGTCCCTGAATCCTTGATGGCACCTCTGGGCCCACTCAGGGCCTGGGGGAACTTGCTGCCCTGAGGGGAAGGATACAGGCCTAGCTGTCTTTGCCACCTGTGGATTGTAGAGCCCTGGGCCTGTAACAAATACCTGGCTACCACCTACTTTGTTCAAAGCCCTGGAGCTCTGCAATCATCATGTGGCTATCCAGCTAGGCTTGTTTGTTGTTGTCGCTAGGTTTGTTGTTGTTGTTGTTTGTTTGTTTCAGGGAATCAAGTTGCCCCAGGCCCCAGGGAGGTTCAGAAGTACCATCCAGGAGCCAGAGACTGGAGTAAAATACCTTAGCCTACTTGGTACTCTATTGAACTACTGCTAAACTAGCACTCAAACCACGAGATGCCATTCTTCCCATTCTTCACACCAATTTAAACAAACAGAGGAGGCTCACTCCATGGCCACCACCACTGTAGGCTCACAGGGAGTACTGAAAGGCTACCAGTGATATTCCCTTCAGGCCCGATTGTTTTTCAGACAGCTTGTGGTGAATGCCGCCTGGCCTGGGACTCACCATTCAGAGCAGTGGGCTCCCCTCTGCCCCAGTACAGGTCAAGAAATGCCATACAAGAGCCAAGGCCTGGAATCTTGAACCCCCAAGAGTCCATTTTATGCTCTACCCCTCTGTGGTCAAGCTGGTACCTGATTTTTGGTTCTTATGAAATGGCTTATTTATGTAGATAGCTGTTAAATTGGTGTCCTTGACAGGGAAATGATGAATGAAGCCTTTAATTTGACCATCTTTCTCCACCTTTCTCCAAGACATACACTTTAGATACAAAAATAAAAATAGATTTAAAGTATAAGGATGAGACAGGATATATCATGAAACCAATAACTAATAGTGAGCTTGTGTATCTATGCTAATATCAGACAAAATAGACTTTTAAAAATTGTTTTGAGATGAAAAGAATACTGTTTTATGATAAAAGGGTCATTTTATCAACAATATGTATGAATCATAAATACATATGTATTTTCGACAATGTCCCAAAATATATGAAGAAAAAACTGACAAAATTAAAGGGAGAAATAGACAATTCTACAATAGTATTTACAGTCTTCAATATCCCACTTCTAGAATGGGTAGAATCACTAGGCATAAAGTAAACAAGAAAATATAGGACTTGAATAAACCAACTAGACCTAAATGACATCTATAGAACACTCCACCCAACAATAGCAGAATATAATTTTTATGTACACCTTAAATAATTTTATAACAGAACATATGTTAGGCCATGAAACAATTCTCAAAATACTTCAAGATGTAATTCATACTAAGTATATTCTTTAACTAAATAAAATAAAATTATAAATCAATTACCAGAAGAAATTTGAGAAATTCACAATTATGTGAAAATGAAAGAACATGCTCTTAAATAACCAATGGATTAAAGAAAAAATCAAAAAAGAAATTGCAAACTACACTGAAAGAAAAACAAGTAAATAATGTACCAAAAATAATGGAACACAGCAAAAACAGCTCTCAAAGTGACATTTATGGCCGTAAATGCCTACATTTAAAATAGAAATGTCTTAAATTAATAACCTAACCAAACAAACTAGAAAAATAAATGTAAACTAAATCCAAAACAAGTAGCAGAAGAAAATAGTGAAGGCTAGATTTAAAATAATAAAGTAGAGGCTGGGAAAAACAATAAAAGAGATAATTCAAATTTTTTTAAAAAGATGAACAAAATTGACAAACTTTTATCTAGAATGAAAAAAAAGAATATTAAAATTACCAAATCAATAAACCTACGTGTGCATGTGTCTTTATAGTAGAATGATTTGTAATCCTTTGAGTATTCACAATAGCAAAGACTTGGAACCGACACAAATGCCCATCAATGATAGACTGGATAAAGAAAATGTGGCACATATATACCATGGAATACTATGCAACCATAAAAAAGAATGAGTTCATGTTCTTTGCAGAGATATGGATGAAGCTGGAAACAATCATTTTCAGCAAACTAACACAGGAACAGAAAACCAAAACACTGCATAGTCTCACTCATAAGTGGTAGTTGAACAATGAGAACATATGGGCACAGGGAGGGAAATATCACACACCAGGGCCTGTCGGGGTGGGGGCAAGGGGAGGCATACCATTAGGAGAAATACCTAATGTAGATGATGGGTTGATGGGTACATTAAACCACTATGGCACATGTATACCTATGTAACAAACGTGCACATTCCGCACATGTATCCCAGAACTTAAAGAATTAAAAAAAAAAAAGGAAATACCGAATAAGGTGAAAAGGGGGCATTTACTGTGGAGCTTACAGAAATAAACAGGCTATTGTCAAAGACTTGGAACCAACCCAAACGTCCATCAATGATAGACTGGGTAAAGAAAATATGGCACATATATACCATGGAATACTATGCAGCCATGAAAAAGAATGAGTTCATGTCCTTTGCAGGGACATGGATGAAGCTGGAAGCCATCATTCTCAGAAAACTAACACAGGAACAGAAAACCAAACACTGCATTTCTCACTCATAAGTGGGAGTTGAACAGTGAGAACACATAGACACAGGGAGAGGAACATCACACACCAGGGCCCGTTGGGGGTTGGGGGGCAAGGGGAAGGAGAGCATTAGGACAAATGCTTAATGTATGCAGGGCTTAAAACCTAGATGACGAGTTGATAGGTGCAGCAAACCACCATGGCACATGTATATCTATGTAACAAACCTGCATGTTCTGCAAATGTATTCCAGAACCTAAAGTAAAATTAAAAAAAAAAGAAATAAATAAGCTATTGTATAAGCAATAATACACTAACATATAACTTATAAAAAATGGAAAAAGCCCTACTGAAACTGACTCAAGAAGAAACAGAAGCTTGTAACAACTAAAGCAATCCAATTGATAATGAAAAACTTCTCCATAATAAAAAGTCCATGAATAGATTGCCTTGATACGGTTTGGGTATTTGTCCTCACCAAATCTCATGTTGGAATTTAATCCCCAATATTGGATGTTGGGTCTGGTGGGAGGTAATTTGATCCTGAGGTTGGGTATTTCATGAATGATTTGGCACCATCTCCTGGATGCTGTCCTTGTGATACTAAATAATTTCTCATGAGATCTGGCTGTTTAAAACTGTGTGGCACCCTCTCCTTCTCTCTCTTGATCCTGCTCTTTCCGTGTGATAAGTTGACTTCCCCTTTGCCTTCTGCCATAATTGTAAGTTTCCTAAATCTCTCACTAGAAGCAGATGCTGGAGCCATGTTTCCTCTGCAGCCTGCAGAAACATAAGCAAATTTAATCTCTTTTCTTTATAAATTACCTAGCCTCAAGTATTTACTTATAGTAATGTGGGAACAGCATAACACAAAAAGTTGGTGTTGAGGAGAAGGACATTCCTATAAACATACCTGAAAATGTGGAAGTGGCTTTAAAACTGTGTAATGAGCAGAAGTTGGGAGAGTTTGGAGGGCTCAGAAGAAGACAGGAACAGGAGTGAATGCTTAGAACTTCTTAGAGACTGGTTAAATGATTGTGAAGAAAACGTTGATAGCGATATGGACAGTGAAGTACAGGCTAAGGTCTCAGATAGAAATGAGGAACTTACTGGAAACTGGACCAAAAGTCATGCATGTTGTAACTTATTAAAGAGCTTGGACACATTTTGTTTATACCCTAGGTGTTTGTAGAAGTCTTAACTTAATCACTCTAAGTGATTACTTAGGGTAACTAGTGGAAGAAATTTCTAATCAGCAAAGCATGCATGATGTGGCCTGGCTGCTTTTAATAGCTTATGCTCAGCTTTGGGAGAAAAAAAATTAAAGTTGAAACTTATATATAAAGGCAAAGCAGAGCATAAAAGCTTGGAAAATTTGCAGCCCGGCCATGTGGCAAAGACAGAAAAGCACTATTTTGAGAATAATCCAAGGAGACTGTGGAGCAACTACTTGCTAGAGATATGAGCATAACTAAAAAGGAGCCAAGTGCTAATAGCCAAGACAATGCTAATAGCCGATGGCTAATAGCCAATTCCAAGTAGTCTCTAGCACCTCAACTTTAACCTGTGAGAAAAGCTGTAGAGGTTATCCCCTTTAGAGACACAGAGGTGGAGCTGCCCAAGGCCTTGGGAGCCCACCTTTTACACCAGTGTGCCCTGTATGCAGGACATGGAGTCAACGGAGTTTATTTTGGAGCTGTAAGACTTAAGTACTGCTCTACTGGGTTTCGGACTTGTGTAGGGCCTGTAGACCCTTTATTTTGACTAATTTATTCCTTTTGGATTGAAAATATTTACTCAATGCCTGTACTCCCATTGTATTTTGCAAGTAAACAACTTGTTTTTTATTTTACAGGCTTATAGGTGGAAGGCACTTGCCTTGTCTCAAATGAGACTTTAGACTTCAGAAATTTGTGTGATGCTGAAAGGAGTTGAGAGTTTTGGGGGACTATTGGAAGAAGGTGATTGTATTTTGCAATCTGAGAAGAATATTATATTTGAGGGATTGGGGGTGGGATAATATATTTCGAATATTTTTTTCCTGCCAAATCTAATGTTGAAATGTTATCTCCACTAGTGGAGGTGGGGCCTGCAGTCAGGTGATTGGATTTTGGGCACAGATTTCTCATGAATGGTTTTGTATAATCTCCTTGAAGGTATCCTTGTGATATTAAATTATTTCTCATAAGATCTGGTTGTTTAAATGTATGTGACACCTTTCCTCCTTGCTCTCTCTTGCTCCTGCTCTCACCATGTGTTATGCTGGCTTCTTCTTCAACTTCCATTATAATTGTAAACTCCCTGAGGCCCTCACCAGAAGCAGATGCCAGCACTATGATTCCTGTACAACCTGCAGAACTGTAAGCCAATTAAACCTCTTTTCTTTATAAATTGCCCTGCTTCAGGGATTTCTTCATATCTATGTGAGCACAGCCTAATGCAGACATCATTGGTGAATTTTGTGTTTTTTTTTTAACAAATGACAAATCATAGTTATATAAACCCTCGTGTCTATTGCAGCATTATTCATAATAGCCAAAGTATAAAACAGCTTATGTCCATCTACAAATTTTTAAACAAAAATTAATACAAATTCTCCCCAAATTTTTCCAAAAAATAGAATATGTAGGAACACATTTAAACTCAATTTATGAAGCCAATATTATTGTTATGCAAACCTTACAATAATAAGACTAACATACCTCATGAACATAAATTCAAAAATTTGTAACACAATAATAGCAAACTGAATCCAGCAACATATAAAATAATTATACATCATGACAAAGTTGGATTGTATTAGTAAATGCAAAGTTGGTTAAACATATAAATATCAATCACGTAATATTTATATTCATAAAACAAAGAACAGAAACCTCTGATCATTTCAATAGGTGTTGAGAAAACATTAACAAAATTTAACATCATTTCATGACAAGAATATTTAAGAAATTAAGAGAAGGGAACTTCCTGACTATGATAGAGGGCATTTGAAAATTTTATGGCTAAAAAGATGAATGCTGTCTCTGTAAGATCAGAAACAAGCCAAAGATGTCTTATCTTGCCATTTTTATTTAACATAGTACTGGGAGTTCTAACCAAGGCAATTAGAAAGAAAAAGAAATTAATATTCAGATTGGAGAGAAAAAAAGGAATATTTTTTATTTTTAATTTTTATGAGTATGTATTAGGTATATATATTTATAGGGTACATGAGATAATATACCTTATAATACATATTAGGTGTATATATTTATAGGGTACATGATACAGGAATAGACTGCTTAATAATCACATCAGGGTAAATGACATATCCACTACCTCAAGCACTTACTTTTTTTGTGTGGGTTAAAAACATTTCAATTATACTTTTAGTTACTTTAAACTGTATAATAAATTATTGTTGACTGTAGTCACCCTGTTGTGCTATCAAATACTAGACATAATTTATTCTATCTAACTATATTTTTGCGTTCATTAACTATTTCCACATCCCTGTCTCCCATTATGCTTGACAGCCTCTGGTAACCATTCTTCTACTCTCTATCTTCATAAATTCAATTATTTTAATTTTTGGCTTTTACAAATGTCTGAGAACCTGTAAAATTTGTCTTTCTGTTACATCCAAGTTGTTGCAAATGACAGGATCTCATTCTTTTTATGGCTGAATAGTACTCTATTGTGTATATGTAACACATTTTCTTTACCCATTACTTTCTTGATGGAAACTTAAGTTTCTTCCAAAATTTGGCTATTGTGAATAGTGTTGCAATAAACATGGAGTGTAAAGATCTACTGATTTCCTTTCTTTTGGATATGTACTTAGAAGTAAGATTGCTGGATTACATGGTAGTTCTATCTTTACATTTTAAGGAACCCCCATAGTGTTCTCCATAGTGGCTGTACTAATTTACATTCCCACCAACAGTGTATCAGGGTTTCCTCTGCTCCACAGCCACACTAGCATTTCTTATTGCCTGTCTTTTAGATAAAAGCCATTTTTACTGGTGTGAGATGATGTCTCATTGTAGTTTTGATTTGCATTTATCTAATGATTAATACCACTGAGCACCTTTTCATATATCTGTCATTGGTATGTCTTCTTTTGAGTAATGTCTCTTTAAATCTTCTGCCAATTTTTAATTGGATTATTGGATTTTTTTTCCTATAGAGCTGTTTCATCCGCTTACATATTCTGGTTATTAATCCATTGTCAGAGGAACAGTTTGCAAATATTTTCTTAGATTCTGTGGGTTGTCTGTTCAATAATTTTTTTTTTTTTTTGAGATGGAGTCTAGCTCTGTCGCCCAGGCTGGAGTGCAGTGGTGCGATCTGGGCTCACTGCAAGCTCCGCCTCCTGGGTTCACACCATTCTCCTGCCTCAGCCTCTGGAGTAGCTGGGACTTACAGGCACCCGCCACCACGTCTGGCTAATTCTTTTGTATTTTTAGTAGAGACGAGGTTTACACCGTGTTAGTCAGGATGGTCTCGATCTCCTGACCTCGTGATCTGCTCGTCTCGGCCTCCCAAAATGCTGGGATTACAGGCGTGAGCCACCGCGTCCGGCTGCTATTCTAGTTCTTTAAGATGCATTAATAAGCCATTTACTTGACATTTGTCTACTTTTAAATTTTTAAAATTTTTAATTTTGTGTGTATATAGTAGGTGTATATATTTATGGGGCACATGGGATGTTTTGTCACAGGCATACAATGTGAAATAAGTACATAATAAATAATGGGGTATACATCTCCTTAAGCATTTTTCCATTGAGTTGCAAACAATCCAATTATACTCATTATTTAAAAATGTACAGTTATTGTTGACTGTAGTCACCCTGTTTGCTATCAAATAGTAGGTTTCTATTATCCTTTCTATTGTGTGTACCAATTAATCATCCCAATCTCCCCTCTGGACCTCTATTTCCCTTCCCAGCCTCTGGTAACCATCCTTCTACTCTCTAGCTCCATGAGTTCAATTGTTTTAATTACTATATCTCACATATAAGTGAAAACATGCAGCATTTGTCTTTCTGTGCCTGGTTTATTTCACATAACAATGATCTCTAGTTCTATCTATGTTGCTGCAAATGACTGGAACTCACTGTTTTTTATGGCTGAATAATACTCCATTGTGTATATATACCACATTTTCTTTATCCATTTACCTAATAATAGACACTTAGTTTGCTTCCAAATTTTAGCTATTGTAAACAGTGCTGTGGCAAACATAAAAGTGCAGATATTTCTTTGACAGACTGGTTTCCTTTCTTTTGTGTATATACCCAGCAGTGGGATTGCTGAATCATATCGTAGCTATATTTTCAGTTTTTTGAGGAACCATGAAGATGTTCTCCATAGTGGTTTTACTAATTTACATTAGCACCAACAGTACACAAGGGTTTCCTTTTCTCTATAGCCTCATCAGCATTTGTTATTACTGACTTTCTTTTGTATATAAGCCATTTTAACTGCAGTGAGATGATATCTCATTGTAGTTTTGATTTGTATTTCTCTGATGATCAATCAAAGATGCTGAGCACGTTTTCATATGCCAGTTTGCCATTTGTATGTCTTCTTTTGAGAAATATCTATTCAAATCTTTGCCCATCCTTTGATTGGATTATTATATTTTTTCCTATAGAGTTGTTTGGGTTCCTTATGTATTCTTGTTAAAAATCTTTTGGCAGATGGGTAGGTTGTAAATATTTTCTCATATTTTGTGGGTTGTCTCTTCACTTTGTTGATCGTATCTGTGCTGTACACAAGCTTTATAAACTTAACGTAATCACATTTGTCTGTTTATGCTTTGGTTGCCTGTGCTTGTGGGGTATTCCTCAAGAAATTTTTGCCAAGACCAAAGTCCTAGGTATTCCCCCAATGTTTTCTTGTAGTAGTTTCATGGCTTGAGGTCTTAGGTTTAAGTCTTTAATCCATTTTTATTTTTTATTTAATGGTTTTATGTAATCAGAGATAGGAGTCCAGTTTCATTCTTTTGCATATAGATATCCAGTCTTCACAGCACCATTTATCGAAAAGACTGTTTTTTCCCCAGTGTATGTTATTGGCAAGTATGTCAAAATATGAGTTCACTGTAGGGTGTGGATTTGTTTCTGCATTTGCTATCCTGTTCCATTGGTCTATGTGTATGTTTTTATGCCAGTACCATGTTGTTTTGGTTACTATTGTTCTGTAGTATAATTTGAAGTCAAGTGACATGATTCCTCCAGCTTTGTTTTGTTTTTTTCTTTTTTTTTTCCCATAGGATAACACTGGCTATTCTGGGTCTTTTGTGGTTCCATACAAATTGTAGGATTCTTTCTAAATATTTCTGTGAAGATCGTCATTGATATTTTGAAAGGGATTGAACTGAATCTGTAGATTGCCTTGGGTAGTATGGACATTTAAAAAATATTGATTCTTTTAATCCATAAACATGAAATATTTTCCCATTTTTTGTGTCCTTGTCAATTACTTTCATCAGTGTTTTATAATTTCCATTATATAAATCTTTCATTTATTTGGTTAAGTTTATTCCTAGGTATTTAATTTTATGTGTTGCTATTGTAAATGAGATTACTTTATATTTCTTTCTTGCATTGTTCACTGTTGGCATATACAAATGCTACTGATTTTTGTATATTGGTTTTGTATCCTGCAACTTCACTGAATTTATTTATCAGTTCTAATTTTTTTTGGTAGGACCTTTAGATTTTTCCAAATATATTATCTGCAAACAGTGATATTTTTACTTCTTCCTTTCCATCTTGGATGCCCGTTACATCTTTGTCTTGTCTAATTGTCCCAGCTAGAACTTCCAGTACTATGTTGAATAACAGTGGTGACAGTAGGCATCCTTGTCGTGTTCCAGATCTTATAGAAAAGGTTTTCACATTTTCCACATTCAGGGTAATATTAGCTGTGGGTCTGTCCTATGTGGCTTTTGTTATGTTAAGGTATGTTTTATCTACACCCAGTTTTTTGAAGGTTTTTATAATGAAAGGATGTTGAATTTTAACAAATGTTTTTGAAATGATCATGTAGTTTTATTTTTTATTCTATTGATATGATGTATCACATTGTTTGATTTGCATATGTTGAACCATCCTTACATCCCAGGGATAAATCCACTTTGACTTGATGAGTATTCTTTCTAGTGTATTGTTGAATTTGGTTTGCTAGTGTGTTGTTGAGGATTTTTGCATCAATATTCATCAGAGATATTGGCCTGCAGCTTTATTTTTATGACGTGCCTTTGCCTGGTTTTGGTATCATGGTAATATTGGCCTTGTAAAATGAGTTTGGAAGTATTCCCTTCTCCTCTATTCTTCGGAATAGTTTGAGTAAGATTGGTATTAGATTTTTAAAAAATGTTTGGTAGAATTCAGCAGTGAAGCCCTTAGGTCCTGGACTTTCTTTACTGGGAGATTTTTTATTATGGCTTTGATTTTGCTATTTGTTATTGGCCTGTTCATGTTTTGGATTTCTTCATGTTTCAATCTTGGTAGGATTTATGCATCTAGAAATTTGATATTCCAATTTATTGGTATATAGTTTGTCATAGTAGCCACTGATGATTCCTTGAATTTCTGCAGTGTCAATTGTAATGTCTCCTTTTTCATTCCTGATTTTGCTTATTTGCATTTTTTCTCTTTTTTTAAGTCTGAATAAAGATATGTCATTTTTTAAACTTTTCTAAAAAACAATTTTTTTGTTTCATTAATTTTCTTTGTTTTTTATTTTAATTTCATTTATGTCTTCTCTGATTTTTATTATTTCTTTTCTTCTGGTAATTTTGGTTTGGTTTGCCCTTGGTTTTCTAGTTTTTAAAGATGCATTGTTAGATTGTTTATTTGAAGATTATTCTCTTTTTGATGTTGTCACTTACAGCTATAAAATTCCCTCTTACTACTGCTTTTGCTGTATACTATAAGTTACGATCTATTCTTGAGAATATACCTTGTGCTGAAGAGAAAAATGTGTATGCTGCTGCTCTTGGATAAAATGTTCTGTAAATAGCTATTAGATTATTTTGGTCTATAGTGTAGGTTAAGTCTGATGTTTCTTGATTTTCTTTCTGGAAGACCTGTCCAATGCTGAAATTGGGGTGTTAAAGCCTCCAGGTATTATTGTATTAGAGCCTATCTCTCTCTTTAGCTCTAATAATAGTTGGTTCATATATCGGGGTGCTCCAGTGTTGGGTGCATATATATTTAAAATTATATGATTTTATACTGACATATAAAATACATATCATATATAATAAATGATATAGGTATAATTTTATAATGATATATAAAAATCATATATATTTGCTGATTTGAGCCCTTTATCATTATATAGTGACCTTCTTTATCTCTTGTAAATTTTTGTCTTGAAACCTATTTTGTCTGATATAATATAGTGACTCATGCTTTTTTTATTTTTTATTAGCATAAAATATCCTTTCCATCTCATTATTTTCAGTCTGTGTGTGTCTTTATAGGTGAAGTATGTTTGTTTTAGGCAAAAGATCAAGGGATATATATATATGTATATATATATATATTATTCATTCTATGTCTTTTAAGTGGGAAATTTAGTCCGTTTGCATTCAATGTTATTATTTATAAATAAGGACTTACTCCTGCCACTTTGTAATTTGTTTTCTGGTTGTTTTGTGGTCTTCTCTTTCTTTTTTTCTTTTATTCCCGTCTTCTGCTGGTGAAGATAATTTTCTCTGGTGATATAATTTAGTTTTTTGCTTCTTATTTTTTGTGTATCCATTGTATGTTTTCTGGTTTTAGGTTATCATGAGGCTTGCAAATATTATTTTAGAACCCATTATTTTAACCTCATACCAACTTAAGGCTACTTGTGTAGAGAAACAAACAAACAAAAATAAACTAATAAAAAACTCTTCTCAACTTTGTCCCACTTTTGGTTGTTTCTATTTATATCTGATTGTACTATGTCTTGAAAATATGTTATAGTTACTATTTTTTATTGGTTTATCATTTAGTCTTTCTACTTAGGGTAAGAGTAGTTTACAAACCACAGTTCAGTGTTATAATATTGTGTATTTTTTGTGTACTTACTATTTCCAGTAAATTTTGTACCTACAGGTGATTACTTATGGCTCATTAATGACTTTTTTTTCTGATTGAAGAAATTATCATTTCTTGTAGGATAGCTCTGGTATTAATAAAATCCCTCAGCTTTTGTTTGTCTGAGAAAGTTTTTATTTCTCCTTCATGTTTGAAGAATTTTTTCAGATATTTTATTATATGATATATGGTAACAGTTTTTTTTTTCTTCCACACTTTAAATATGTCATGCCACTGTCTCTTGGCCTGTAAGACTTCCACTGAAAAGTTTGCTGCCTAATGTAACGGAGCTCCTTTGTATTTTATTTATTTATTTTTTCTCTTGCTGCTTTTAGGATCCTTTCTTTATCTTTGACCTTTGAAAGTTTGATGATTAAATGCCTTGAGGTAGTCTTATTTTAGTTATATCTGCTTCGTGTTCTATAACCTTCTTGTACTTGAATATTGGTATCTTTCTCTACATTCGGGAAGTTCTCTGTTAATGTCCCCTTGAAAAAACTTTCTATTCCTATCTCTTTTTCTACCTCCTCTTTAAGGCCAATAACTCTTAGATTTACCCTGTTGAGGTTATTTTCTAGATCATGTAGATCTGATTGTTTTTTTTTCTTTTGCCTCCTCTGGCTCTGTGTTTTCAAATAGCCTGTCTTCAAACTCACTGATTCTTTCCTTCCTTGATTCATTTTGATATTAAAGACTCTGATGCATTCTTCAGTATGTCAAATGTATTTTTCAGCTCCAGAATTTTTGCTATATTCTTTTTAGTTATTTCAACCTCGTTGTTAAATTTATCTGATAGAATTCTGAATTCCTACTCTGTGTTATCTTGAATTTCCTTGAGTTTTCTTAACAGAGCGATTTTGAATTCTCTGTATGAAAGTTCACATGTGTCTCTTCCTTCCAATTGGTCCCTGGTGCTTTATTTAGTTTATTTTTTGAGGTCATAATTTCCTAGATGGTGTTGATGCTGGTAGATGTTTTGTGTCTAGGTCTTCAAGAGTTAGGTATTTATTGTAGTATTCACCGTCTGTGCTTATTTGTAGCTGTTTTTCTCTGGAATGCTTCCCAGCTATTTGAAAAACACTGGATGTTGTGATCTAAGCTATTTCTGGTGTAGGCGGCACCCCAAGCCTGGTAATGCTTTGGTTCTTGAATACTTGTAGAGGTACCACATTGATGGCCTTGGACAAGATTTGGGGGAATTCTCTTGATTACCAGGCAGAGACTTTTGTTATCTTCATTTACTTTCTCTTAAATATACAAAGTTTCTATCTCTGTTCTGAGCTACCTAAAACTGGAGGTGGAGTGACACAAGCACCCCTGTGGCCACCACCACTATGAATATGCTGAGTCAGAACTTTTATTAGTCCATTCTCACACTGCTATGAATAAATACGTGAGACTGGGTAATTTAGAAAGGAAAGAGGTTTAATTGACTCAGACTTCTGCATTGCTGAGGCGGCCTCAGGAAACTTACAATCATGGCAGAAGGCAAAGGTGAAGCAGGTACTTTCTTCACAGGGCAGTAGGACTGAGTGAGTGCAAGCAGGGGAAATTATAAAACCATCAGGTCTCGTGAGACTCACTCACTATCATAAAAACAGCATGGTGGAAACTGCCTCCATGATCCAATTACCTTCACCTGGTCCTGCCCTTGTCACATAGGGATAATGGGGATTACAATTCATGATGAAATTTTGGGTGGTGGAATTCAACTAGTATATGACCTTCCTCTAGGATACTTGACGAGTAAAGGAAGAACACCTCAAGTGCACATGTGTATAACTTCAGTAAACACATTGTGCATGTGACTCCTCCCACATGCTAACAGGTCATTGTGCATATGGACAGCCCACCCCAAGGGAAGAATCAGGGGATAATTAATGCAACCCCAGAAACATGCCAACATATAAGACCTCAAGTCAAAGGTCAAATGACACACTTGACTCTCTCAAGTCGCTCTTTTGGCCCCCTTGCAAGTGTACTTTACTTCCTTTCATTCCTGCTCTAAAAATTTTTAATTAACTTTCACTCCTACCCTAAAACTGGCCTCAATCTCTCCCTCTGCCTTATGGCTCTCAGTTGAATTTTCTTCTGAGGAGGCAAGAATTGAGGTTGCAGCAGACTTGTATGGATTTGCCACTGCTAACACTAAGACTTGCCTGGGTTGCAGTCCTTATGGCCTAGACTGCTTTTCAAGTTTAGAGACAGAGGACACTTTCCCTCTCAGTGGCAAGGTTTGTGGGCATTCAGGATTGGACTTCTGGGATTAGCAATTCTTCTCTGGCTAGGGCTGGTTTAAACGTTTCCTCTTGGGGCAGACATCAGCTGAGTTTGTTCTGGTTTTCTTTTCTGCTCTAATAGGACAGCACTGAGATCCATGCCTCACATTTACTATGTTCTCCCTCCCTCATCACCCAGAGAAGCTCTCTGCACCACAGAGCTGCTGCCTGGGGTGGTGGAGAGATGGCATTGGTGAATCGGGACTGTTTTTTTCTATCTCTTTAGTGTCCTTTTTGGAAATACGAAGTTAAAAACAGGTACTATGAATCCTCACCTGATTTTTGGCTCTTATGGAGGTTTTCTTTTTTCTTTTCTTTTTTTTTCTGGGTAGATAGCTGTTTACTTGGTGTTCTTGCAGAGGGAACAATCCTTGGAGTCTTCTATTCTGCCATCTTGCTCCACCTCTTCCTTTTCTACTTTTTTGATATAGGCATATATTGCTATAAGTTTTCTTGTCAGAACCGCAGTTACCGTATACAATAGTGTTGTGTTTTTTTTCATTCGTTTAAATAAATTTTTAAATTGTCTTCTTAATTTCTTTAGTTATCCACTGTTCACTCAGAAACAATGAAAAAAAATTCCATGTGATTGTATAGTTTTCAAAATTCCTCTTGTCATTTATTTCTAGTTTCATTCCATTGTGGTTGGAGAAGATGCATGGTATAATTTTACTTTTTTGAATGTTTTAAGACTTGTTTTGTGGGTTAATAGATGATCTGTCCTTGAGAATGATTCATGTGTTGAGGACAAAAATGTGTATTCTGCAGCTGTTGTATAAAATTTTTTGTAAATATCTATTAGGTCCATTTGATTCGCATTGCAGATTAAGTTACATGTTTCTCTGTTTATTTTCTGTCTGGATAATCTGTCCAGTGCTAAAAGTGGAGTTTTGAACTCTTCAGCTTTTATTATTTTGTAGTTTGTCTCTCTCTTTAGCTCTAATAATATTGGTTTTATACATCTGGTTGCTTATACATCTGGTTGTTTATACATCTGGTTGCATATATTTGCAATTGTTTTATTCTCTTGCTGTATTGCTACCTTTTTCATTATTTAATGACCTTCTTTGTCTCGTCTTATAATTTTTGTCTTGAAATCTATTTTGTTTGATATAAGTATAGCTACTCTTGCATTTTTGGTTTCTGTTTGCATGGAATATCTTTTCCTATCCCTTTATTTTCATGCTGTGTAGGTTGTTGGGGCTTGTTTTATTTAATTCATTCAGTCATTCTTTGACTTTTTTTTGGAGCGTTTATTCCATTTACATTCAATGTTATAAGTAAGGACTCACGTCTGCATTTTCTTATTTGTTTTCTGGTTCTCTTTTGGTCTTCTCTTTCTTCTTTTCTTCCTGTTTTCCTTTGAGGAAGATGATTTTCTCTGCTGGTATGTTTGAGCTTCTTGCTTTTTATTTTTTGTCTATCCGTTGTAGATTTCTTTATTGGAGGCTACCATAAGACTTGCAAATAACATCTTACAACCCATTATTTTAAACTGATGACAAGTTAACACTGATTGTGAAAACAAAGAACCTAACAAACAAGCAAGAAGAAAACTAATAAGTGTGTGCTTTACCTTTGTCTCCTTGATTTTTCACTTTTTGTTCTTTCTTTCTATACCCTATTGTACTGTATATATCTTCAACAGTTGTTGTTATTATTATTTTTGATTGGTTCATTTATTCACCTTTCTACTTGAGATATGAGTACTTTACATACCACAATTACAGTGTTATAATATTATGTGTTTTTCTGTGTACTTATTGTTATCATCAGTGAGTTTTGTCCCTTCAGATGATTTTTTATTGCTCATTAATTTCCTTTTCTTTCCAAATGAAGAATTCCCTGTAGCATTTGTTGTATGATAAGTCCAATGTTGATAAAATCACTCAGCTTCTGTTTGTCTGGGAAAGTCTTTATCTCTCCTTCACATTTAAAAGATGTTTTCCCCAGGTATACTATTCTATGGTAAAAGTATTTTTCCTTCAGCACTTTAAATATGCCATGTCACCCTCTTCTGGCCTGTAAGGTTTCTATTAATATGTCTTCTGCCGCATGTACTGGAGCCTTTTTTTGTTATTTGTTTATTTTCTCTTGCTGCTTTTTGGATACATTCTTTATCATTGACTTTTGGGAGTTTGATTATTAAGTGCCTTGAGGTGGTCTTCTTTGAGTTAAATCTGCTTGGTGTTCTACAATACTCTTGTACTTGAATATTGATGTCTTTCTCTATGTGTGGGATGTTATCTGTTGTTATTCCTTTAAATAAACTTTCTAGCCCAATCTTTGTCTCTACCTCTCCTTTAAGGCTAATAACTCTTAGATTTACCCCTGTGAGACTATTTTCTAGATATTGTAGGTGTACTTTATTCTTTTTTATTTTTTTCTTTTGTCTCCTCTGACTGTATTTTCAAATAGTCTCTCTTCAAGCTCACTAATTCTTTCTGCTGCTTGATCAATTCTTCTGTTGAGAGACTGGTGCATTTTTAAGTATGTCAGTTGCATGTTTCAGCTGCAGAATTTTTGCTTGATTTTTAAAAAAAGTATTTCAATTTCTTTTAAAAATTTATTTGATAGAATTCTGAATTCCTTTTATGTATTATTTTTAATTGAGTTTTCTCTGACACAGCTATTTGGAATTCTCTGTCTGAAAGATCACATATGTGTCTTTCTCAGGTTTGATCCCTGGTGCCTTATTTAGCTTGCTTTGTGAGGGAGGTCATGTTTTTCTTGATGACCTTGAAGTTTGTGGATGTTCATTACTGTCTGGGTATTAAAGAGATAAACATTTATTATAGTCTTTGCAGTCTAGGCTTACTTGTAGCCATTCTTCCTGAGAAGGCTTTCCAGATTTGAAAGTAATTGGGTGTTGTGATCTAAGCTGTATCTGCATTAGGGGGCGCCCTAAGCCCAGTAATGTTGTGGTCCCTGGAGACCCTTAGAGTACCTTCATGGTGGTCTTGGAAAAGATCTGGAAGAATTATCTGGATTATTGGGCAGAGATTCTTGTTTTTTCCCTTACTTTTCCTTTAACAAATGGAGACTCTCTCTGTGCTGAGATCCCTGGAGCTTGGGGAACGGTAATACAAGCACCTCATTGGCCACCACCACTGAGATACTACCAGATGAGCCCTGAAGCCAGTGTAAGACTGGTTCTTACTCAAGGCCTGCAGCAACCACTTCCTGGCTACCACAGATCTTTACTCGAGGCCCAAGTGCTCTTCAGTCAACAAGTGTTTAATCCAGCCAGGCTTGTGTTTCTTACTTCAGAGCACTGAGTTCTCCCCTGGCCCAGTGGAGAGGGGACAAGTTGTAGTGACATAGGGTATAATTCATACATTTATGGTTAATTGATTTTCAACAAGGGAGCCAAGAAAATTCAGTAAGGACAAATATAGTCTTTTCAATAGGAGGTGCTGGGTCAACTGGCTATCCAAATTCAATGGACTACTACCTCACCCTATATATAAAATTTAGCTCAAAATGGATTAAATACCTGTATATAAGAGCTAAATTTTTAAAACTCTTAGAACAAAACTTAGGGCATATCTTTGTGACCATGTGTTTAGCAACGAATTCTTAGATATAACACTGAAAGTACAAGCAACAAAAGGAAAAATAGATAAATTGGATTTATCTATTGAATCACCACTTTGGTGATTCAAAGTGTTTAATTTTGATGAAATCCAATTTATCTATTTTTCAAAAGGACACTGTTAAGAAAATGAAAAGTAACCCCACAGAATGGGTGAAAATATTTGCATAATAATATTTCTGACAAGGGTCTAGTATTCAGAGTATACAAAAACAAACTCTTACATCTCAACAAAATATAGGCATTTCCCCAAAGAAGTTATAGAAATGGCTAATAAGCACATAAAAAGCTCTCAGTGTTAGCAGTCAATAAAGAAGTGCAAATCAAAACTGGAATGAGATAAAGCTTTATATCCACTTGTATGAATAAAAACAACAGCCAAAAACTAATGTTAGTGAGGATGTGGAAATATTGGAACACTCATACACTGCTGAAGGAAACATAAAGTGGTGTGACCACTTTGAAGAACAGTTGGACATTTCCTCAAAAAGTTAAACAGAAGGTTATCATATGGCTCAACAATTCCACTCCTTGGCATTAACCAAGAAAATATATGGAATTGAAAATATATGTCTACACAAAGAGTCATGCGAATATTCATAGCAAAACAAAAAACAAAAAAACACATACAACCCACATGTCCATGAGCTGATGATTGAATAAACAGAATATTTTTTAAATAAAAAGGAAAAACTAGTAAGTTTAAGATGGAGAAACTCAATAGAAAACACCTTAACAATATGCTTAAGGTTAACGTCTCTCATAATGAGACATGTTGACATCCTGGATTCCTTGAAGTGATGCATTGAGAGAGCATAATATCCCTTTTGTGATATTCTTTTAAAAAATGATAACTTCAATCTAATCAAGAGAAAACCAGACAAACTAAAACTGAAGGCTATTCTATAAATAACTGAGCAATTCAAAAGTGTCAAAAGACAGGCATGAAAATGGTCCTAAAAGATAGGCAAAGATAGGAAAGCTCTTACAGACTTAAGCAAATATATGTATGTATATATATTTGAGACGGAGTTTCGCTCTTGTTGCCCAAGCTGGAGTGTAATGGTGCAATCTCAGCTCACCACAACCCCTGCCTCCCGGATTCAAGTAATTCTCCTGCCTCAGCCTCCCGAGTAGCTGGGATTACAGGTATGCGCCACCACGCCCGGCTAATTTTGTATTTTCAGTAGAGATGGTTTTTCTCCATGTTGGTCAGGCTGGTCTGGAACTGCCGACCTCAGGTGATCTGCCCTCCTCGACCTCCCAAATTGCTGGGATTACAGGCATGAGCCACCTTGCCTGGCCTAGACTTAAGCATGTTAAAGGTACATGAGAACTACATGCAATTGGGGATAAGTAGAAAAACTGGTGAAGTTTGAATGAAGTTTTTAGATAATAGTAGTATAGTACAGTACACTGGTTTTGATAATTGTACAATGGTTTTGTAAGATGTTAACATAAGAGAAGCTAAGTAAAGGGTATATGGAAACTCTTTGCTATTTTGTCAACATTCACATAAATTTATTTCAAAACAGGTTTAAAAACAAAATTATGTGGCATAGTATAATGTTACATGAACTATATGGATTTACATTTTGAATTTTGTGTGTGAATCTTACTCAAAAATATAAATCCATATAGTTCATGTAACATTATACTATGCCACATAATTTTGTCTTTAAACTTGTTTTGAAATAAATTTATGCACAAAATTCACCATTTTAAGCATGTTTATGTTGTACAATTCAGTGGATTTTAGTAATTTATAGTGTTGTATCATCATCACAACTAATTCTAGAATAATTTCCTTGCTCTACAAAGAAACTCTGTACCATTAAGCAATCAGTCTCTGTTCCTTGCTCCTCCCAGGCCTTAAAAATTATTAACCTGCTCCTTGGATTTACTTGTTCTCTTTATTTCATATAAATGGAATCATATGATATGTGGCCCTTTGTGTCTGATGTCTTTCCCTCAGCTTTTAGGTACATACAAAAATAATTGAAAATAGATGTTTGAATAAAAATTTGTGCACTAATGTTTGTTAGCAACCTTATTTGTAATATCCAAAAAGTGGAAACAACCCAGATGTACAAGTGATAAATGGATAAACAAAGTACGGAATAGCCATGCAATAGAACATTATCAAGCCATAACAATAAATAAAGAACATGCCACAGTGTGGATAAAACATAGAAACAGTATAAGTTGACTTGTGTTTTTAAAATTATCACACACACACATGCTCCAAGGCTTTATGTAGTAAGAAGACTTATGTGAAACTAGTGGAATTGTAGCTCTGAATGGGATCTTAAATATAATTTAATCCTGTAGTTTACTTGATTTTTGTGGGTGGGACAACTGAAATAAAAATAAAACTACATAAAATGTGTGTGTGTGTATCCTGAAGGGGCACTAATCTAATAGCATGAATACGAAGTATACATTTGTGCAAAAGAGTTAATTTTTGTATGTATAGAAAATACATCTAAAACATAATTGCTAAAAGTTTAAAATATAAGACATTCATTTAATTCTACTCAAGGGACTTATCCCATATAAGATTAACACAAGTGCAAAAATACACAATGCTATATTGAAAAAATACAAGAATATTTACTTAATTTTAAAATTTATTTTTAGTCAAGAGAAACCAATAAAAAGCATTCAAATAGGAGAAGAAGTTAATTTATCTCTCTTCACTGATGACCTAGAAAACCCTAAACACTATGACAAAAGGCTCCTAGAATTGAAAAACAACTTTAGTAAAATTTCAGGATACAAAATCGATGTACAAAATTTAGTACTATTTCCATATACCAATAACATTCAGGCTCAGAGCCAAATCAAGAAAGAGATTCCATTTACAATAGTTTCACACACACACACACACACACACACACACACACACACACACACCTTCCCCTAGGAACACACCTAGCAAAGGAGGTGAAAGATCTCTACAAGTAGAACTACAAAACACTGCTAAGATAAATTATAGATGGCACAAACAAAGGAAACAGTAGATGTTGGTGTGGATGTGGCAATCAGGGAACACTTCTACACTGCTGGTGGGAGTGTAAACTAGTACAACCGCTATGGAAAACAGTGTGGAGATTCCTTAAAGAACAATAAGTTGAACTACCATTTGATCCAGCAATCCCACTACAGGGTATCTATCCAGAGGAAAAGAAGTCATTATTCGAAAAAGATACTTGCACATGCATGTTTATAGCAGCACAATTCACAATAGCACAATCGTGGAACCAACCCAAATGCCCATCAATCAATGAGTAGATAAAGAAATTCTGGTATATGTATAAAATGGAATACTACTCAGCCATGAAAAGGAATGAACAGCATTTGCAATGACCTAGATGGGATTAGAGAGTATTATTCCAAATGTAGTAACTCAGGAATGGAAAACCAAACATCATATGTTCTCACTGATATGTGGGAGCTAAGCTATGAGGATGCAAAGTCATAAGAATAATGCAATGGACTTTGGGACTTGGAGGGAAGAGTGGGAGGGGGGTGAGGGATAAAAGACAACAAATATGGTGCAGTGTATACTGCTTGAGTGATGGGTGCACCAAATTCTCACAAATCTGCATTAAAGAATTTATTCACGTAACCAAATACCACCTGTACCCCAATAACTTATGGAAAAATAAAATTAAAAAATAAAATAAATGAAAAACAAACAAAAAACCATTCAGTATTCATGGATTGGAAGAATCAATGTCAAAATGGCCATTCTGCCCAAAGCAATCCACAGATTCAATGCTATTTCTATCAAACTACAAATATCGTTTTTCACAGAATTGGAAAAAACTAGTCTAAAATTCATATGGAAGCAGAAAAGAGACTGGATAGCCAAAGCAACCTCATGCAAAATAAACAAGGCTGGAGGAATCACAGTCGCTGACTCAAACTATACTATAAGGGTAAAGTAATCAAAACAGCATGGTACTGGTACAAAAATGGACACATAGACCAAGGGAATAGAATAGAGAAAGAATAAGTAAAGCCACACACCTATATCCGTCTGATATTTGACAAAGTTGACAAAAATAAGCTATGGAGAGAGAACTCCCTATTAAATAAGTGGTTCTGGGTAGCTGGCTAGCCGCATGTGAAAGAAAGAAACTGGACACTTACCTCTCACCGTATAAAAAAATTAACTCAGGATGGATTAAAGACTTAAATGTGAGACTCAAACTATAAAAATACTTGGAAGAAAATGTAGGGAATACTATTCTCGACATCACCCTTGACAAATAATTTATTACTAAGTTCTCAAAAGCAATTGCAATAAAAGCAAAAATTGACAAATGGGATCTAACTAAACTAAGCTTCTGCACTGCAACTAACTAAACTAAGCTTTTGCACTGTAAATAAAAATATCAACAGCATGAGCAAACATCCTACAGAATGGGAGAAAATATTGGCAAACTATGCATCTCACAAAGGTTTAATACGCAGAATCTATAAGGAACTTAATTCAACAAGCAAAAAGCAAATAATCCCATTAAAAACTTGGTAAAGTACATGAATAGACATTTTTCAAAAGAAGACGTACAAGCTATCAACAAACTTATAAAAAATGCTCCACATCACTAATCATTAGAGAAATGCAAATCAAAACCAACCGCAAGGAGACATCATCTCACATCAGTTGGAGTGGCTATAATTGAAAAGTCAAAAAACAACAGATTCTGATAAGGCTGAGGATGAAAGGGAACAGTTAGACACTGTTGGTGGGAACATAAATTAGTTCAACTCTTGTGGAAGACAGTTTGGAGATTTCTCAAAGAACTTGGAACTACCATTTGACTCAGCATTCCCATTACTGGGTATATATCCAAATAACAATGAATCATACTACTAAATAGACATATGCACTCATATGTTCATTGCAGCACTACTGACAATAATAAAGACATGGAATCAAATTAGATGCCCATAAATGGTGAATTGGAGAAAGAAAATGTGGTACATATACAGTATGAAATATTACACAGCCATAAAAAATGAAATCATGTTCTTTGCAGCAGCATGGATGCAACTGGAGGCCATTATCCTAAGTGAATTAATGCAGGATCAGTAAACCAAATACCACATGTTCTCACTTGTAAGTGAGAGCTAAACATTGGGAATACATGGACATAGCAATGGCAACAATAGACACTGGGGACTATTAGAAGGGGGAGGGGGATAAGGGTTGAAAATCTATTGGGTACCATGCTCACTACCAGGGTTACAGGATCAATCATACTCAAACCTCAGCATCATGTAATTTACACATGTAACAAACCTGCACATGTACCCCTTGAATATAAAATAATTTTTGAAAGTATTAAAAAACAGAGCTGCGAAGAACATTGGATTAGGCAGCCACTCTCAAGGAACAGAACTGTCTTAATTAAGGAAACTTTCTAGTCCTAGACATTGTTCTTAGAGAAGGGAGTCCTAGTAATAAGTCTTTTGTGACATTTGGAATTGCTGTGGGCTAGTGACTGCTATATGCTTTCCACTTCTACCTTCTTCTTTATTTTTTTGCAGTAGACATGTCTATTATTATTCTGTCATTGTCTCACCATTTTATGTTGAGTATGGGTAAAGTATACAACCTGTCTTCATAGGTCTATGGATCAAGGGGAGCTGTATCCAAGGAGTCACATCCACATCCCACCCTGATGTACATCATAAGATCAGGGAGTTAGTGCCTGATACTGTGATGGGATGAGACTTTGGGAGTCTTTGGAGGAAACAGAATGTGCTTTTCATGTGGGAGAGGTGTGAATCATTGGGGCTAAAACAGGCTATAGTAGATTTTTACAATAATTCCTCCCAATTAATCATACCTCTTTTTGTACATGCACCTTTGTAATGTGACTTTATGTACTTACTATTAAAAAAAGGCTATCTATTTCCCCAAATTTTGAATTTAGACTGGCTTTGTGACCTGCTTAGACCAATAGGACATGGCAAATAAGATAAGGCCTTGCGGTTACATTTATTATCCTGGAGCTCTGAACCAACCTAACTGTGAAAAATACTGGAATAAAGACGACATAGAGAGAAAGGTCCAGCTGAGCCCAGACACTAACCAACTCATAAATTGAGTGCAGCTACATGATGGAGCCCAGGAGATAACAGAGAACTACCCAGTCAACCCCACAAAACAGTGAGAAATAATAAATCATTATTGCTTTAAGTCACTAAGTTTTGGAGACATGCTGCATAGCAATAGATAACTTTACAATATTATCCTAGGCTCTACTAAAGAATATAAACAAAAAGTAAGGATGATTTTTTTTAAAAGTAACATACCTGTGCATCCCTGACTTTCTTTTCCTTCTGCTGATTAGGAGATGACAAGACCTGGAACAGACCCAGAGATAAAAGTAATGTTTTCAGGATGGAAAAACCAACCTGTCAACTATGAACTACTCACCTATGGACCAGTATATGAGGAAGAATAAACTTTGATGTTGTTGAAAACTTGTTAGGCTTTTGTGTTTGTGTGTTTCTCTGTTATAGTAGCCAGGTCTGTATCCTAACTAAAACAGATGGCAAGTCAAATTCCTAAATTTCATTAAAGGTGGTAAACTCATTAACTGCCACCTACACTCAATTATCTAAAGCATTTGAGTCTTTTTTGATAAACTGCAAAGAACACTGGTACATCAAGACAAATAAATTACTTGTAAGTTTAAAAAAAGCTAAGAAATAAATAATTGCATGAAATGGGGTCTAAACTGAAAAAACTGGTTTTGTATACACATTTATATATTTATCATTTAAAAATATAAAAGAGATTACATGTATATTAATATATGTACAGAAAATGTCCAAAAAGCTACACAAAGAGCTGTTAACACTGATTACTTCTGAGGAGTTGAAAAGAGGTAGGAGTAAAGAGGGTGATTTTAATTTTACATCCCTCTGTACTACGCTGTTTTTTCTTTTGTTATGAGAGTTATTTTTACTTCTTCCCACTTTCATGGGTATTATACAACTCACTTTGGTTCACAAAGCAAGGTCAGCCACTCTGAGTTTGTGTGACTCCCTTAAGTTTATAGATTAAGAAATGGGTCAGAAAAGTGAATTAGCTTATTTAGGCACAGCCTGTAGCAGAAGCAGTTTGGGGAAATAAATCCTCTATACTCATACAGTACTTTTTTTATTACTCCACACCTGTTCAGTTCCATTGTTCATTCCTGTGAAATATAATCACAAAACTATTAGCTATCCCAAATGTTCCAAGGATGTTTCTGGAGTATACGACTCAGAAGAGCAATAGAAAGATCATCACAGTACAATATTTGTCTGTTGCAGTAATCCTAGAAAAGGCAATGAAATTTCCAAGAATGCAAACAGATGCAAATGCATAAGCAGTTGGAACTAAAACATAAGCATGTGTTCAGAGTCCATGAATAGCCTCTTTTTTCCTCACTAGACGTAGTTTAATGATGTGATCTTTTCAGCACTCAGAAGAGCAATGGCTGTTATTCCAGATTAATCCTTAGGTAAGAACTCTTATTGAGGCCAGTTAGGATTTTGTCTAGTGTCTTATGTACGGATTTCTGTTTTATCGAGTGGTTGTGGGGTCACCAAAGGGGCTGCAATAAAAGCCTAACAGACCTAGTACCTACCTGAATGGGTTGGCTACTTGGGATTTGTGTTGTGCAAATGTTCAATCTCTACAATATTAATAGTTTTCATAGGATCTTAACGTTTCAGAGCCATAGATATTAGAACTTACCAAATCCAAAAACCCTTTTTATACACCCTTTAAGGTCCAAAAAGGAGGGTTTTTGAAAAACCATAGGTTTACTTGTTTTTGTTTGTTTTATATTTCAGACGACATGTATTGTTTTTTCCAGATTTGGGATAGCAACTAAAAGGGAGGTTCACCCAGGTTTTCACTGATTCATCTTCTCAAAAGTTTTCAAAGCATGGTTCTCTGGACCATTAGCATCAGCATCACCTGGGGCTTATTAGAAATGCAAATTCTCAATCAGAAAAAAGGTAGTCAGGGCCTAAAATCTGTGTTTTAACAAGACTTTCAGGTGATTTTGATGCATAATAAAATTTAGGAATTTGTATTATCATTTATAAATGGTATTTTATTATATAACTGCTCTGGGCCAAACTTTAAACATTCTTCAATGTATATTATCTCTTTTAATCCTTTTAGTGAGGGGTATTATTATTCCACTTATTTAAGTTTGGCAGTTACTTAAGGCCAAACAGCCCATCTCTAAACTATGATGTAGGTAATCCCCAATTTCTTTTGTAGTCTTCCTCCATCTGGCCCACCCACTTCCTTTCACTGCTGCCCAAACACTACCTCCAGGTTCTTAATACCTGTATTTGCATGTGATGGAGAGTCAGTCACCTGGATTCTATTTTCATCTCACTGTGTGGCTTTGGGTAGTTCTTTTTCCTTTTCTGGTCTTCAGAATATTTACATGCTAATCATTAGAGAAATGCAAATCAAGACCACAGTGAGATATCATCTCTCTCCAGTTAGAATAGCTATTATCAAAATGAGGAAAAATAACAAATGCTGACAGGGATGCAGAGAAAAGGGAAATGCTCCTACACTGTTGGTGAGAAAGTAAAGTAGTACAGCCATTATAGAAAACAGCACGGAGCTTCTTCAAAAACTAAAAATAGAACTACCATATGATCCAACAATCCTGCTGCTGCATGTATATCCAAAGGAAAGGAAATTGTTCTGTCAAAGAGATTTCTGCTCTCCCATATTTATTTTAACACTATTCACAATAGTCAAGTTATTAATCAACCTAAATGCCCATCAATGGATGAAAGAATAAAGAAAATGTGGTATAAATACACAATGACATACTATTCAGCTATTAAAAGAATAAAATCCTGTTTTTTGAAGCAATATGGATGGAACTGGAGGTTATTATGTTAAGTAAAATAAGCCAGGGACAGAAAGACAAATTCTGCCTGTTTTCACTCATATGTGAGAGCTAAAAAAGTGGATCCCATGAAGGTAGAGAGCAGAATGGTGATTACCAGATGCTAGCAAGGGAAGGTAGGAGGGAGAGATGAAGAGAAGTTGGTTAACGGGTACAACAATAGTTAGATAGGAAAAATAAGTTTTAGTATTTGACAATAGAGTAGGGAAATTATAGTTAGCAATAATTTATTTTATGTTTCAAAATAGCTAGAAGAGAAGAATTGTGATGTTTCCAACACAAAGAAAATATAAATATTTGAGGTGGTGGATATCCCAGTTAGCCTGGTTTGATCATTACAGATTGTGTATGGTTATCAAAATATCTACGTGTACCCCACAAATATGTACAACAATGATATATCAATATGTTTTTAAAAAATTGGAAGGATTGGGCTCATCTTTGATATTTCTATCAGCATATTCCCATATCTACTCTTGAAAAGGCCTTAAAAATCTTCATTTTCCTTTAAAGTATATTGAAGTTACTCCCTTCTTTGCCCAGGGCATCAGGGTTCTAATCCTGATCTCTTATATTAAACGTTCACCATGGAGAAAATTACTGAAGGCCTTAACCAGCAGCCAGGGAAAGTATTTTTATTGGGTTAAGGCCTATCATGGGGCCCTCTCCTACATTAGACATGAAGATGAGTTTAACAGAAGAAACATTGTGGCTTATAGGCAGGTTGACTTCTTGGACAGATTCTTAGCGGAAAAAGCCTATGACATCTGTTCATTCCCTAACCAACCACCAGTCTGTCAGGGGCTCTATGGGGAGCAGTATTTACCTACTTTTCTCAGGGCTAGTTAATTGATACCTCAGTGTAATTTTTAAGTCATTGTGATGTCATTAAGACCATGTACTATATGTAGTAGAAAAACAACAACGTTGAAATATGGCAGTCTTTGTTTGAATTCCCAACACTGTTATTTACTGGCTATGTAGTCCTGAGAATGGCAACTAAACTCCCTGGGCCTCAGTGTCCTCATTTTTAAAATAGATTTAATAACACAGGCTTTGACTACATTCCAGAAAAGGCATGAGACAATGTATTTGAAAATGTCTGGAACATGGTAAGAGATCAATAAATATTTGTTGTTGAAGTCCACCTGGAGTGTGGCCAGCAGTTATTCAAGTTAACTGCTATTGATTTTAGTGTTGAAAACAACACTTGGTATAAAGAACTGCAAACTTACTATTCTACTATTAGGGTAATTCCTTTAGATCTCCTGGAATTCTCTGGGAAAATGTAGTTAGCTCTGGTAGAGAAAGCACATGGAATCCCAATCAGGCAAAATCCACTGGAGGTGGTTTAATACATTATATCAGAAACACAACTTTCTGAGGATGGCGCACAGGGAAGCTGCCTGCTTAAAAGGTGTAGATAGAGGAGGTTACCGTGGCCCAACATTGTTGCCCTAATCACAGTGGTAGTCTACCAATAGAAGACTTCATTCTAGTCCCTTTAGATTAGAGATAAGTTAGAGTTAAGTCTAAATACAGACAGGAACATCACAAATACATTTTAAGAGAAGTGAAATCATACAAAGGATGTACTCTGAATTAAACTGGAAAAAAATAGCAGGTGCATATCCGGAAAATCCAAAAAACATTTGGGAATTAAACAAGACCCCTGACCACTTTTGACCACTGAGTCAAAAAAGACATGATAAGAAATATTAAAATATTTTGAAATAAATGAAAATGAAAATACAATATATAAAAATTGTTAGATGTGGCTGAAGCAGTGTTTAAAGGGGAATTTATAGCATCAAAATACATATACTAAGAAAGGAATAAAGGTCTCAAATCAATGATGTACTCAAAGTTGTACTTTATTCTAATGCAAACCTATTGGAGATGAATTGGTACAAAATAAAATTATTTTTCAAACTGAATGTAATGTATCAGCGATTTATTTTTTACCTTTATAAAAAGAAGTCTTTATACGCTATTTTGTTCAGCCAAGCAAGCAATGGTAATAGAGCAATTTTTAAAATTATATTGATAATTTCTTTTAAAAAATTGGTTATAACCACTTCTAAATATTCCAAATAAGTCACTGTTTGCTCCAAGTGATTAATGGCACCATTAAAAAACAAGACATCACAAGATCAGGAGTTCGAGACCAGCCTGACCAAACATGGTGAAACCCTGTCTCTACTAAAAGTACAAAAATTAGCTGGACATGGTGGCACGCACCTGTAATCCCAGCTACTCAGGAGGCTGAGAGGCAGGAGAATTGCTTGAACCCAGAGGCAGAGGTTGCAGTGAGCCGAGATCATGCCATTGCACTCTAGCCTTGGCGACAGAATGAGACTCCGTCTCAAAAAAAAAAAAAAAAAGAAAGAAAAAGAAGACATGTTTGAAATATATACATTTTTCTAATCTGAACAAGCTAGATTAAACAGATGTAAGGCAGTTGTGCAAAGCAAAATTTGACCAGTTTCAGAATGAGAACGTGATAGAAAAGAGCACCACAAATTCCATTTAAGCACATGTGTCTACTACCTTTTTAAAAAAAGCCTTAGTTGTACAGTCGGCTTTCAATTATTTTTGTTGAGAGAGGATATCCAAGAATTATCAAAATATATTTAGTTTTGAAATCAAAGCAGAGACATCCCACTTGCTGTCCCCAGACAACACATGGTCAGGCACAGAAGGATATACATGTATGCATATGCGTAATATTGTTCCATTTCCCTGCCAACATGCCCAAGAACTCAGGCTGATTGTTGGAGGCTGTTGATAGTTCAAATGCTAACTGACTTTTCTGACAAGTCTGGTTGAATATTGACAATTCTGCTATGCTGTAACTTGTGACTCTGAACATCTGTGGTTCTGTTTTTCTTCAGGACTGTGTTTGTTACTTACTACCCCTTGTTGCCAATGTATCTCAATCCATTTATTAATTTAGGAAATATGTATTGAGTTTCTACTTTGTATCAATGAGTTTGGCCTTCAGCAAGTTTACAGCCCAGTCTAATAAGGAATGTTTTCATGGAAATAAATCCTTAGAATATTGTGTGAAAAAAGTGATCGCGTATGTATAAGGTGCTTTCTTAGTGTAGAGAAGAGAATATTTAACTCTATCTAGGATGTGAGAGGACCAAGTTGGTGTCCCAGAGAAAGTTGTGCTTGACATGAGCCTAGAAGGATATCTTAGAATTTGGCTAGGTAAAGATGAGGATCCTTCGCTTTTCAAATTCAGGGAGAGGAGCGAGTATGTGCAAATGTACAAGAGAATGGATACACATGAGAGTATATCTTATTGGAGGAAAGGCTGGGAGCATAGAGTGCCTTGTAGAAGGGTGGGTGAGAAATGGCTGGAGAAAATACTACTACTACTACTAACTACTACTACTACTATCTACTACTACTACAACTACTAGAAACTACTAGTAGTAGTAAGTAGTAGAATCCAGGTCTATACTGACTCCAAGCATACCACAAAATCACCTAACCTCAAGTGAAACATTATTCCTCTTCCTGTTTCTTTCTCTTTTTTGGGGGCGGGGAGGGGAGGAGAGAGAGTTTCGCCACTACAACTACTAGAAACTACTACTAGTAGTAAGTAGTAGCAGTAGTTATTAGTAGTAAGTAGCAGTAGTAGTTAATATTTACCGAGCACTTACAAGTACTCGATGTAGATAAATGCTTTATGTACATTATTTAAACCTTGAAACAATACTATCTATTACTATTATCCCAGTTGCACAGAGGTAGAAAATGAGAATTCGGGAGGCTGGGCAACTTGCCCAAAGTTACTAAGCTGTCAGTTATGCTTGGGAACTAGATCATGAGAGAGGCTTATTTGCCATGCTAAATTGTTCAGGCTTTATCTTGAATGGGTCAAACTGTCATTGAGGTTTTTTTTTTTCTTTTCCCTAAAGAAACAAATTGGGAGAAACAGACTAGAGGAAATATCTTTGGAAGTTCTAAATAAGAACTGAGGAAAACATCCAAAATCAAATCCAAAAGGGACTACAAAAAGAATCTAGACATAAAATTAAACACGACAGAGCCTGAGGGAGAGTTGTTGATGGTTGGTTTAAACAGAAAGGTGATAATATTGGAGATGAGGAATTTGGTAAAAGAGAAAAGGGGAAGGGTTGAGGAAATAGCGTGGGGAACTAGGTAGCTAGTCATAGAGATTAGAAACAGGAAGAAGGACTGGGACACAGTGGCTCATGCCTACAATCCCAACACTTTGGGAGGCCAAAGTGAGTGGATCACCTGAGGTCAGGAGTTCAAGACCAGCCTGGCTAACATGGCGAAACCCCGTCTCTACTAAAAATACAAAAATTAGCTGGGTGTGGTGGCGGACACCTGTAATTTCAGCTACTCAGGAGGATGAGGTGGGAGAATCGCTTGAACCCAGGAGGCAGAGGTTGTGGTGAGCCAAGACCTGGGTGACAAGAGGGAAACTCTGCCTCCTCCCCTCCCCGCCCCCCAAAAAGAGAAAGAAGCAGGAAGAGGAATAATGTTTCACTTGAGGTTAGGTGATTTTTGTGGTATGCTTGGAGTCAGTAGACCTGGATTCAAGTTCTGATTCCATCAATTACTGCTGAGGTGACCTTGGACAAGTCATTTAATGTCAAGTAATTTGAGTCTATATCCTTGTCTGTTAAGCGGGAAGACTGATACCTATAGGTAAGATTGCACTCTTTTGATTATCAAATTAGACAATATATGTGAGATGCTTTGAGGTGTGCAAACTGTATACAATATAGGTTATGACAAGCATGCATTGTATAGATTCAGGTGCATAGCCATATTTTCAGTCTCTGGAGACTTACATTGCAAATCTAGATCAAAATTTACTGCCAGAATATCCATGCCATAGGCAGTCTTTTAAGAATCTAATTCTAATATTGAATATTTAAGTTAGAATGCATTAAGGCAAATAGCCTTTAAGTTCAACATGATCACAGAGGGTTTTACTTAGCGCTAAAGTTTTAACACTTGAATCAATTTCCATTTTGAGGACTAGCTATTATTTAAAAAGTAGAAAGATAATTTTCTTGAGCATTGCTCTTGAATAGAAATGTAATGTGAGCCACATAAGTGATTTTTAATTGAATTTTTATTGAGATAATTATAGATATACATACATTTGTAAGAACAAATATAGAGAAATACTGTTACCCTCAATGATAGCATTTTTCCAAACTGCAGTAAAATAGCACAACCTGCATTTTGATATGCATATAATTCATCAGTTTTCCTGAGATCTCCAGTTTAACTTGTACTGTTTTGTGTGTGTGTATTTAGCTATATACAATTTTATTACACATGTAGGTTTATATATTCAACAGTCAAGATACCGAACAGTTTCGTCACCACAAAGATTCCTTGTGTTGCACTTTTGCAGCCATATCTACTTACCTCCCACCCGCCCACCTCCACCCCCACCCCCTGACAAACACTGATACCTTCGCTATCTCTACAAGTTTGTCATTTCAAGAATGTTATATGAATGAAATCACATAGTTTGTGACATTTAAGGAAAGACGTAATAACAGCATAATTCTCTGTAGATTAATCTAAGTTATTGCGTGTTTCAATAGTTTATACCTTTCTGTTGCGGAGTGGTAATTTATGGTGTTGATGTATCACAATTTAACTATTCACCCACTGAAGGGCATATAATTTGTTCTCATCTTTTGGCTGCTGTTACAAATAAAACAGCTATGAGCATAAGCTTTTATTTATCTGGAATAAATGCCTAAGAGTGTAGTTGCTGGGTCATATGATGAACACATGTTGAGTTTTATAGTTAACTGAAAAACTGTTTTCCAGAATAGCTGTATTATTTTACATTCCTACCATCAGTGTATGAGTGATCTGGTTGCTCTGCATCCAGTATTTGATGTTGTCACTATTTTTATTTTAGCCACTCTTATAGGATAGGTGTAATTTTAATTTTATGTACATCATGGCTAATTACGTTGAACAAATTTCATGTGTTTGTCATCTTTCATCTGTATACCCTCTTTTGTGAAATATATTTTTATGCCTTTTGCCGATTTTTAATAGCATTCTTTTAGTTGACTTTTGTGGGTTCTTTATATATTCTAGATACTAGTTCTTTGTCAGATATGTTGTTTGTAAATATTTCCCCCAAGTCTGTAGCTTGTCTTATCACACGGACTTTCAAAGAGTAAAAGTTTTTAATTTTGGTGAGATTTAATTTGCCAATTTTTCTTTTTTTAAAAAAAACCAAAGCCCAAAGAAAACAGGGTCTCACTCTGTCACCCAGGCTGGAGTGCAGTGGCATTATTGTGGCTCACCATGACCCCGACTTCCCAGGCTCAGGTAATCCTCCCACCTTAGCCTTCTGAGTAGCTGGGACTATAGACATGCACAGTTATGCCAGGCTAATTACTGTATTTTATTTTTTTTGTGGAAACAGAATCTCACTAAGTTTCCCAGGCTCTCTTGAACTCCTGGGCTCAAGCAATCCTCCTGCCTGTGTCCCAAAGTGCTAGGATTACAGGCATGAGCCACTGTGCATAGCTCAAGTTTTCTTTTTATGTGTCGTGTTTTTGTTTCAACTCTAAGAACTCGTTGCCTACCTCTAGATTCTGAAAATTTGCTCTTATGACTTTTTTCTAAAAGTTTTGTTGTTTTATGTGTTACATTTAAATCTATGTTCCATTTCAAATTATCTTTTGTATAAGATGTGAAGATTTCCCCTGCCCCCATGGGTTTGCAATTGTTGCAGCACCAATTCATTGGGTTTTGCATCTTCGTCAAAATTCAGTTAAGCATATTTGTGTGGGTCTGTTCCTGTATTCTCAATTCTGTTCATTGACCCTATGTTTATCTCTCTACCAAAAGCACATTGTCTCAGTTATTGTAAGTGAACAGTAACATTTAACACCAGGTAGAGTAATTTGTCCCACTTTTTTTGGTCAATGTTGTTTTTGCTATTATAGGGCTCATGGCATTTCCTATAAATTTGAGAGTGGGCTTGCCTGTGTTTCTAAAACACCTTGCTGGGATTTTTATATGAATTGCATTAAACCTGTAGATTAATTTGGGAAGAATTTATATCTTTACTATGTTGAAACTTTCAATTCATGAACATGGTGTATCTCTGTTTATTTACGTCCTCTTCAATTTATTTCATCAGCATTTTGAAATTTTCAGCATATAGATCTAGTACATGTATCTCAAGGCTATACCTAAGTACTTCATTTACTCTGGAGTAACTATAAATGGTCTTGTGTTTTTAATTTTGGTTTTCATATGTTCATTGTTAGTGTATAGAAACATGATTGATATTTTCTGTTAGTCTTATATTCTGTGACCTTGCTGAACTCACTTATTAGTTCCAGAATTTTAAATATATTATTTGGGATTTCTGATGCAAACAATTATATCTGAAAAAAGAGGTAGTTTTCTTCTTTATTTTTATAGGGTTGAAAAAATTTCTAAATTTTTGAAATTTTTAATTTTTGTGGGTACATAGTAGATGTATATATGTATGGGTATGTGAATATTTTGACATGCCTATATCATTATTTTGATATAGGCTGCAATGTGTAATAATCACATCAGGATAAACAGGATATCCATTGGTCAAGCATTTATCCTTTGTGTTATAAACGATCCAATTATACTCTTCTAGTTATTTTTAAATGTACAACTAAACTATTACTGACTATAGTCACCATGTTGTGCTATCAAATACTAGGTCTTATTCATTCTTTCTATTTTGTACACATTTACCATCCCTGCTTCCCCTGCACAATCATCACTACACTTCCCAGTCTCTGGTAACCATCTTTGTACTCGCTATCTTCATGAGTTCAGTTCTTTGAATTTTTAGCTTCCCCAAATAAATGAGAATATGTGAAGGTTGTCTTTCTGTGCCTGGAATATTTCACTTAACATAACCATCTCCTGTCCGATCCATGCTGTTGCAAATGACAGTATCGCATTCTCTTTTATGGCTGAAGAGTACTTCATTGTGTATGTGTACTATATTTTCATTATCCATTTATCTGTTGATGGAAATTTAGGTTGCTTCCAAATCATGGCTATTGTGAAGAGTGTTGCAATAAACATGGAAGTGCAGATGTCTCTTCGATATACTGATTTCCTTTCTTTTGAGTATATACCTAACAGTAGGATTGCTGGATCATATGGTAATGCTATTTTTAGTGTTTTGAATAACCTCCAAACTTTTATTCATAGTGGTTTTTCTAATTTAAATTCCCACCAACAGTATACAAGGGTTCTCTTTTCTCCACATCCTCACCAGCATTTGTTATTGCTTTTCTTTTGGATAAAAGACATTTTAACTGGGGTAAGATATCTGATTGTAGTTTTGATTTGCATTTCTCTGATGATGACTGATGTTGAGCAACTTATCGTATACCTGCTTGCCATTTGTATGTCTTCTTTTGAGAAATGTCTATTCAGGTCTTTGGCCCATTTTTAAATTGGATGATTAGATTTTTATTCCTACAGATTTGTTTGAGTTTCTTGTATATTCTGATTATTAATCTCTTGTCAGATAAGTAGTTTTCAAATATTTTCTCCTGTTCTGGGGTTGTCTCTTCACTTTGTTGATTGTTTCCTTTGCTGTGCAGAAGCTTTTTAACTTAATGTGATTGTATCTGTAAATTTTGGCTTTTGTTGCCCGTGCTTGTGGGGTATGACTCAAGAAATCTTTACCTAATCCAATGTCCTGGAGGGTTTTTTCCAATGTTTTCTTGTTTTATTAAAAATATTGACAGTCTTTTTAAAACTTTTTTTATATGTTTGTATTTCTACAAGTTATTGGGGAACAGGTGGTGTTTACTTACATGAGTAAGTTCTTAGTTTTTAAATACTTAGTAAATAAATATGCCAGTATTGTGCTGTTTTGGTTACTATAGCCCTGTAGTATAATTTTAAGTCTAATAATGTGATCTCTTCTGTTATGTTCTTTTTGCTCAGAATAGCTTTGGCTATTCTGGGGTGTTTTTTTGGTTCCATAAAAATGTATATATTCTTTATTTCTATAAAGAATATTGTTGAAATTTTGATAGAGATTGAAATGTGTAAATTGCTTTGGAAAATATAAGCATTTTAACAATATTTATTCTTCCAATGCATTGTTTTCATTTTTTGTATCATGTTTAATTTTTTGCACTAATATTTCATAGTTTTTGTTATTTATAGAAATCTTTCACTTCTGTGCTTAGTTAATTCCTAGAAACTTAATTTTATTTGTAGCTACTGTAAATGTGATTACTTTCTTGATTTATTTTTCAGAATACTCACTTTGCATACAGAAATGCTACTGACTTTTGTATGTTGATTTTTATCCTGCAATTTTACTGAATTTGTTAATGGATTCTGATAGTTTTTTTTGTGGTATATTTTTGGTTTTCCAAATATAAGAGCAAATTATCTGCTAACAAAAATATTTTGACTTCTTTCTTTTCAGATAAGATGGCTGTCATTTCTTTCTCTTGTCTGATTACTTGAGCTAAGAAACTTCAAGTATTGTGATTGTGTTGAATAACAGCAGTGAAAGCAGGCATATTTGTTGTGTTGCAGATCTTAGAGGAAAGACTTTCAGCTTTTTCCTATTCAGTATAGTACTAGCTGTGGGTCTGTTGTATATAGCTTTTGTTATGTTGTGGCATGTTCCTTCTATACACAGTTTTTTAATGGCTTCTATCACAAACGTATGTTGAATTTTATCAAGTGTTTTTCAGCATTGGTTGAAATGATTGTATGGTTTTTGTCCTCCATTGAAATGACTGTATGGTTTTTGTCCTCCATTGTGTTGATATAATGCATTATACTGAATGACTTGTGTCTGTTCAACCACCTTTGCCTTTCTGGGATAAATCCCAGTTGGTTATGAAGAATGATCTTTCTAATGTGTTGTTGATTTCAATTTCCTGGCATTTTGTTGAGAATTTTTGCAACAATATTCATTAGTTATATTGGCCAATAGTTTGTGTGTGTGTGTGTGTGTGTGTGTCTTTTTCTGGTTTTGGTGTCAGGGTAATATTGGTGTCTTTGGATGAGTTTGGTAATATTCCCTCTTCCTCTATTTTTTACAATAGTTTGAGTAGAATTGTTATTATTTAAATATTTGGTAGGATTCAGCAGTGAAACCATCAGGTCCTTGGCTTTTCTTTGCTCAGAAAATTTTTATTATGGCTTCTATCTTATCACTTGTTGTTTGTCTGTTCAAATTTTGGATTTCTTCATGGTTCAATCTTGTTAGGTTGTATGTGTCTAGGAATTTATCCAGTTCTAGGTTTTCCAATTTATTGGCATGCAGTTGCTCATAGTAGCCACTACATAGAAATTCTTAGTAATCCTAAGAATTTCTGCAGTATCAGTTGTAACGTCTCCTTTTTTTATCTCTGATTTTATTTATTTGTGTCTTCTCTCTCTTTTTTTTTTTTTTAGTCTGGCTTATGGCTTGTCAGGTTTGTTTATCTTTCCAAAAAGACCTAACTCTTCATTTTGTTGATCTTTTGTATTGTTTTCTTCATTTCAATTTTATGTATTTCTGTTTGATCTTTATTATTTTCTTCCTTCTATTAATTTGGATTTGGTTTGCTCTTGCTTTTCTGGGTCTTTAAGATGCATCATTATGTTATATATTTGAATGTTCTTTTTTTCTTTTTTGATGTAGGCACTTATAGCTAAAAACTTTCCTCTTAGTACTGCTTTTTCTGTATCCCATGGGTTTTGGTATTTTATGTTTTTATTATCATTTGTTTCAGGAAATTTTAAAATTTCTTTCTTAATTTCTTCACTGACCCACTGGTCATTTAAGTATATATTGATTAATTTCCATGTGTTTGCACAGTTTCCAAAATTTGTCTTTGTATTGATCTCTAGTTTTATTCCACTGTGGTCAGAGAAGATGCTTGATAACATTTAAAATTTTTTGAATGTTTTAAAACTAATTTTGTGAATTAATATATAGTGTTTTGAGAATTAATCATAAGTTAAGAAAAATAATGTGTATTCTGCAGTCATTGGATGAAATGTTCTCTAAATATCTGTTAGGTCCATTTAGTCTATAGTGCAGATGAGGTCTGATATTTGTTTGCAGATTTTCTATCTGGAAGATGTACCCAATGCGGAAAGTGGGGTGTGGAAGTGTCCAGCTATTATTGTACTGCAGTCTATCTCTCTCTTTTGCTCTAATAATATTTGCTTTATATATGTAGATGCTCCAGTATTAGGTGCATATATGTTTACAATTATATCCTCTTGCTGAATTGACCCATTTAGCATTATATAGTGACCTTTTTGTCTCTTCTTATAGTTTTTGTCTTGAAACCTATTTTGCCTAATACAAGCATAGCTACCCCACCTCTTGTTTGGTTTCCATTGACATAAAATATCTTTTTCCATCTCCTTTTTTGCATCTGTGTATATCTTTATAGGCGACATGTGGTTATTGTAAGCCAAAGATCATTGGGTCTTGCTTATCTTATCTATTCAGCCGCTCTACAACTTTTTATTGGAGAGTTTAGTCCGTTTACATTCAACACTGTAAGGGATAAGTATGAACTTATTCCTGGATTTTTTTATTTGTTTTCTGTTTGTTTTGTGGTATTCTCTCCCTTACTGTCTTCCCTTTAATGAAGGTGATCTCTGGTGGTATGATTTAATTTTTTGCTTTTCATTTTTTGTGTATCTTTTATATATTTTTTGATTTGAGGTTACCATGAGACTTGCAAATACAATCTTGCAGTCTCTGATTTTAAACCGAAAACAACTTTACAGTGATTGTATAAATGAACAAGGCAAAAGAAAACTAATAAAAGCTCTACACATTAAGTTTCTTCCTTGCTATTTGTTGTTTTTATTTATATCTTATTGTATTGTCATACTGTCTGTGTCTTGAAACCTTGTTGTTATTATTTTTCATTGGTTCATTTTTTAGTCTTTCGACCTAAGATAAGAATAATTTACCCACCTCAATTACAACCTTATAATATTCTGTTTTTTTTCTGTGGTACTTAATATTATCAGTGAGTTTTATACTTTCAGATTATTTGTTGTTTCTCATTAACGTCTTTTTCTTTCATACTGAAAAACTCCCTGTAGCATTTTTGGTAGGAAAGGTCTGGTGTTGGTGAAATCCTTCAGCTTTTGTTTGCCTGGGAATGTATTTCTCCTTCATGTTTGAAGGATGTTTTCACCAGATATACTTTTCTAGGGTAAAAGCGCTTTTTCCTTCAGCACTTTATCTCATGCCACTCTCTCCTTGCCTGTAGGATTTTCACTGAAAAGTTGGCTGTGAGACGTATTGGGCCTCCATTGTGTTATTCGTTTATTTTCTCTTGTTGCTTTTAGGATTCTTTCTTTATACTTGACCTTTGGGAGCCTGATTATTAAACGCCTTGAGGTAGTCTTCTTTGGGTTAAATCTGCTTGGTGTTCTACAACTTTCTTGTACTTGAATATTGATGCCTTTCCTTAGGTTTTGGAAGTTGACTGTGATTATTCCTTTGAATAATCTCTCTACTCCTAAGTCATTTTCCACCTCCTCTTTAAGTTCAATTTCTCTTAGGTTTGCTTTGTTGAGGCCATTTTTTAGATCTTATAAGTGTCCTTTATTGTTTTTATTTGTTTTCTTTTATCTCCTCTGACTTTCTGTTTTTCAAATAGCTTGTCTTCAAACTCACCAACTGCTTCTTCTGCTTGGTCAATTCTGCTATTGAAGAACTCTGATGCAGTCTTCAGTATGCCAATTGCATTTTTCAATGGAAGAATTTCTTCTTTATTATTTTTAATTATTTCAATGTTATTGTTAAATTTATCAGATATTATTCTTGAATTCCTTCTGCTTGTTTTCTTATATTTTTGAGTTTCCTCAAAACTGCTACTTTGAAGTCTCTGTCTGAGAGATCACATATCTCTGTTTTTCCAGGATTGGTCCTTGGAGCCTTATTTATCTCATTTGTTGATATCATGTTTTCCTGGATGGTCTTGATGTTTGTGAATTTTTGTCTGTGTGGGCATTCAAAAGTTAGGTATTTATTGTGATCTTTATACTCTAGGCTTATTTGTACCTGTCCTTCTTGGGAAGATTTTCCAGGTATTCAAAGGGACTTGTGTGTTGTGATCTAAGCTGTATCTGCATTAGAGGGCATCCGAAGCCCAGGAACACTATGATTCTTGCAAACCTGCAGAGGTACCACCTTGTTGGTCTTGGATAGGATCCAAAAAAATTACCTGAATTACCAGGCAAACTCTTGTTCTCTTTCCTTACTTTCTCCTTAACAAATGAAGTCTCTCTCTTTCTGTGCTGTGCCATCTGGAACTGGGGGGGGGAGGACACAAGTGCCTCTGGGGCCACCAGCACTGGGACTGCACTGGATCAAACCTAAAGGCAGCACATCATTGGGTTTCGCACAAGGCCCAGTGTAACTAGTACCTGGCTACCACCTATATTTGCTCAAGGATCTAGGGCTCTATAATCAGCAGATGGTAAAGCCAGCCAGGCTTGTGTTCTTCCCTTTATGGCTGCAAGTTTCCCCAGACCCTAGGCTGGTCAGTGATGCTCTCTAGGAGCCTGGGGCTGAAGTCTTAAATTTTAGAAATCTACCCGGTGCCTTCTTCTATTGCAGTTAAGCTGGTGCTCAAATTATGAGAAAAAGTCATTTGTACTTTTTCCTCCCCCCCTTTTTTTCTCCCCTTTTTACAGGCAAAGAAACCTCTCCTCATGGCCACCACCACCACAGACCCATGGGGGCTATTGCTGTGTTACTGCCAATATTCACTTAACACCCAAGGGCTCTTCTTCAGTCAGCTTGTGGTGAATGTTGCCAGGCCTGGGACTCACCCTTCAGGACAGTGGGCTCCCTTCTGGCCCAGGGTAGGTCCAGAAATGCCATCCAAGGGCCAAGACCTAGAATCAAGGACCCCAAGAGCCTACTTGGTGCTCTACTCTACTGTGGCAGAGCTGGTACCTGAAGCCAACATGTCCCAGTGTCTTATCAATGGCCTATAACTTATGACTTGTGTATTTCTGATGGTTCTTCCAGGACCAAGGGCTTGTTAGTCAGCCAGTGATATATCTTGCCAGGATTGAGCCTTTCTCTTTAAGGCGGTGGGTTCCTTTCTGGCCCAGGGTGTGCCTAGAATTGTTCTCTGGCAGCTAGGGCCTGGACTCAGGGATTTATGACTCTGCCAGGTGCCCTATCCTACTGTTTCTGAGCTGGTATCCAAGGTGCAAGACAAAGTCCTCCTTACTCTTCCCTCTCGTCTCCTCAAGCAGAAGAAAGGAGTCACTTTTGTTGCTTCAAGCTGCACTGCTTGGTGTTGAGGGAGGTGTGGTTCAAGTACTTCCTTTGCGGCCCTGGCTGGTTTTCCATATCCACTGGCTCTGAGCCCAGAACAGCACTAGCAATTGCCTAGGAATTGTAGTCTTTGCAGCTCAGATGGACTTTCAGATATATTTAGGACCCCAGAGCCCTTTAGCCCATGGTGGTAAGGCTTGCTGAATTTCAAGTTCTCACTGCTGGGATGCGCAATTCCCCTCTGGTTGGGGTTGGTGTAAATGCTCCTTCTGTGTTCAAACATTGGCTGAGTTTAGCCTGTTTTTGCTTTCTGCTGTAAACAGGGCCACACTGAGTTCAATGCAGGGTCTCACAATTGCCACAATTTTCTTCCCCCAAGCACACAGATTTTCTTTGCCACATGGCCACTGGCAGGAGATGGGGAAGGGGCACTGTCAGAAATTCAAGACTATTTTTTACCATCTTCAGTGCCTCTTTCAGTGATATGGAGTTAAACCAGGTCCTGTAATTGCTGACCTGATTTTTGGTTCTCATTAAGATTCTTTTAATGTAAAATTTGTGTAAATTGATGTTCCTGTAAGAGAGACAATTGGTGAAGGCGTCTATTCAGCTATCTTGCTCTGCCTTCCCAGTTTTATTTTTTCCGTTCCAATTCATACGCTTTATATTTGTTTGCCTTGCTTACTGCGTTGGCTTTAACTTTAGTATTATGTTAAATAAGAGTGGTGAGACTGATATTGTGGCCTCTTCCTTATATTATCAGAAAAACACTCAGCCTTTCACCATTAAATATGGTGTTAGCTATAGGTTTTTTTATACATGTTCTTTATCAAGTTTAGGAAGTCTGCCTCTATTCCTAACTTTCTGAGAGTTTTAAATTGTGAATGCATGTCACATATATAATTTAATTTTTTTCTAATAGTCCTGTAAAAAGTATTTAAAAAAACATTGGAGACTCAGGGCGGGATGCTGGGAGGGGATTGAGGAATAAAAAATTACTTAATGGGTACAATGTACATTATTTGGGTGATGGTTACAGTAAAATCCCAGACTAAACCACTAGGCAATATGTCCATGTTACAAAATGGCCCTTGTACCCCTCAAATTTATACAAATAAAAGTAGTATTAATTTTAATAGACTTTATTTAACCTAGTATATCAAAGTATTAGTGTTTCATCATGTAATCAATATAAAATTTTTATTAAATATTTTACATCCTTTTTGCATCAAGTCTTAGAAATCTGGTGTTTATTTTACACTTACAGCACATCCCAATTTATGCTAACAACATGTGGTTAGTAGCTAGCGTGTTGGACAGAGCAGGTCTAAAGTGGCAAAACCTGAGGAAAGAAACAGTTGAGCCTCCTCTCAACCAAAAAACTTGAGTTGTCTTATTTTTTTTTCTTTAATATTTATGAAGCTCCCGTGGTGAACAGGATAACATAGTTAATCTGAGTATTGTGAATTCTCAATTCAAACCAGCAGTAATGTAATGTAACAATTTTATACTCTATTTTTAAAAACGTAGTTTTATGTGTAGATTGCTTCAGCTTGATAATGAGGAAATCAATGGATAGAGGATTATCAGTTTGGCCACCAGCATAGTTAGAGCCACTGTATTAACTATATTAGCATATCCTAAAATCATAGGACATCAGTGGATTAGGAGGGTTGTCAAAATGTAAAATTATAGTTATCTCACCAAACAGCTGTGTAGCCTTGGGTAAATCCCTTGACCTCCTTGGGCCTCAGTTTACCTATCTGAAAAATAAAGTCTTTAAAGTATCTTTTAGTTTCAAGACTGTAACAAAGCTCTTTGATTCAGGCATTCTATCAACAAATATTTTTAAGAGCTCCATTATGTGCCAGGCACTGAACCTGAGGTTGCAAACTTTAATCTTTACTCTTTGCTTTCTTAGAGCTTATAGTCTGTTGAGGGAGATGTAATTAAACAGCTAATTTGAAAAATAAGTTACGGTGATGAAAATGCCATAGAGGAAAAATCCAAGGTTATCTAGCTTACTTGGCAGGGAGAGGAGATCAGGAAAGACTTCCCTGACATTTAAGCATGTTATTCAGTAGCTTTTTGTTCAATTATTAAACTCTTTTATGATACAAACTAAAACATTATCATAAATTTAAGCATATTCAGTAGTTATATTCTAAATGCCCTTAAGATAAACACGGTATTCCAAGACAAAAGTCTTTTCTCCTTGTAGACAGAAACTATGTAATATTAATAATGATAATAAAATTATTTTGATGAAAACAATAAGAATATCTGTTGTACGACTTTGAAAATATGGCGTATACCAATTGTAAAAGGAATTGGGTTTGTTTAATCTGGAAACGTCTTGGGGTTTCAGTGAGGTAGGGGATAAGGTAGCTTTATTCAGAGAGCTGAAGGGTTGTCACAGGGAAACAGTGACAATTTTGTTCCGTGTGGTCTCTTGGAGAAAACTGCATCAAGAAAGACATCAGCTAAATCTAAGGAAAAAAATTTTAAATAGCCAGAGGGTCCACAGTCTGGGTAGAAGGGATGTGGGCTGGGGAAGGTTAAAGTTCTAACAAATGAGGTAGACTTGATGGCCTTCATAATTGCTTTCAACTTTGAAATTCCAGAAAATTCACCATTATATAGGGAGATGAAAAACCAAAGAAATCTATTAGATAGTTTTTCTGATTTTGAAAATGAAACATTGACAAAATGCAGACATTGAGTAGATAAACAACCTGGACAGTAGAATTTCAAAAGTTAATAACTGAGAAAAAGGCTGGAAACTATCTAAAACCCAGGATAGATGTGGCTGGAGATCAAAAGTATCAGGGATTTGAAAAAAAAAAAAAAAAAAAAAAAAAGCAACCACAACATAACTACTTGGCCAAATCAAAGAGACTATTGCATGGAGAGAAGGCATCTTTTAAATACTTGAAAGATGGTCCAAATTCAGAGAACAGGGAAGCACACAATTCGTAGGGCTCAGGGGAGAGGGTGGGTCAGAATTTCTAGGAATGTAGGATGGGAGTAGAAGTGGGAGTAGGGAGGCTTCCTGATGAGGCACAGCATTTAGTGATGTGGGGATGTGTTCCAGGATGGGAGAAATGAATGCTTGTCTCTTTCCTTTGTTTTATTATTTCAATTTTTATCATATGCCTACCCCCAAATTCTGATGCTCTGCACTCTAAGTATCTCTCTTTCTCTTTAAATACAAAATATGTATATGTATATATGTACGTATATATATATATATATATATATATGCATATTTTACTTACTTTAAGAAAATTTTGTTTTATTTCCTGAACTTAAAAATCAGAGGACCTGAAACTCTGCTCACTCTTCAAAAAATCTGAGTTAGTAAAGATGGTTTTAACTTATGTGTTGACCTTTGAATAATTTTTTCCCTATTTTGGGTCAGTAGCATTTGATGGAAAAAAAAAACCTACTTATGATTTTAGTGCTACAGCCATGCTGAGATTATGGTTGGTAGGGGTGGGAATAAGAAAGACAGATAATCAAGGGTTTCTATATTTCTGGCCGATCATAGTGGCAGCATGTATTTCTTCCATGGTTCCTAAAATGAGAAGAAAGCCTAAGAATGCCATAAGAAAGAATGAGATCATGGTTTTTTTTTTTTTTTTTTTCAGGGACATGGATGGAGTGGAGGCCATTATCCTTAGCAAACGAACACAGGAACAGAAAACCAAATACCACATGTCCTCACTTACAAGTGGGAGCTCAATGATAAGAATGCATGGACACATAGAAGGGAACAATGCACACTGGGGGTTTTTTAGAGGGTGGAGAGTGGGAGCAGAGAGAGAATCAGGAAAAAATAACTAATGGGTAATAGGCTTAATACCTGGGTGATGAAATAATCCGTATAACAAACTGCCATGACACAAGTTTGCCTATGTAACAAACCTGCACTTGTACCCCTGAACTTAAAATAAAAGTTTAAAAAAGAAGACAGAATTATCTGCTTTTGTATGACAATAAGGTGAAAAGGTATTTGAAGGACACCAAGAAACCCATTATTTGGCTGGAATGAAAGGAGTGGATTGTCAAGAGATTACATATGGACCTGTTATATAGTCCTATTGAGGCTTCATTTTGAACCCAAAGAGAGACATTCTTGAATCTTTATTCCTATTTAACTCCTTCCTTAGTGATGCCCTTCTTTATTTAAGGCTTTGTATAAATTTTTACAATTAAGATTTGATGAAACAATTTTTAAAAGAGTTTGAGTTATTACTAACAAATGTTTCCTATTGGTGGAATTTCTTACATATTATTCCCATGAAATGCTAATGGCCGATATTGATAATGAAATTATGATTAGACATAGCTGTGTGATGTTCCCAAATTTATTTGTCAAGTCTCTTGCTTGCATGCCTGCTATTTCACTGATAAATGGCTCACCCAGATGTTGAAAACTTGTAGTAGATTTGAGAATAAGTCCTGTCATTTGAGATTTTCCTGATAGATTTGCCTTTTAGCAATGCATTCTTAGGTGAAAATTATGACCAACACGTATTAGACTTGCTGCCTTCAGGCTTGGATGTTTGTGGGCACTCAAGGTCATATGGAGGCTGTCCCATACCATCCAGCTGGTAGCCAGAGGAATGGGAGCTATTCTATCCTCTACAGCTGTTTAAGGAGGTAGATATTCAAATTTTTTTTGGATGGCTTAAAGTATCAGCCCTGTTAAAGTGTGAGAACATACTTCTCAGTAAGTATAAAATGGCCTAATACAACAAACTTGGCTCCATTGTACCTCAATTAAAACACAGAAAAACAATGTCTTCACAGCTACCTGTCAGTTAAGAGTGATGTATTTTACTTGCTTCAAAATTATTTTAAAAATATCACATTTGGATGATACTTTGGAAATTACAAAGTATGTTTACTTTTTTTGTTTGTTTCATTTGGTATTATCAACAGCCTCTTGAGGGAAGTGTAACTTTCCTCATTTTACAAATGAAGAAATAGGCTTGGAAAGACTAAGGGACTTTCTTGAGATTTCACAGCTGTGAAAATGCAAAGCTGGAACTCATTAAAACCTGTGTTTACTGCCTCCAAATCTAGTGTTCTTTTTCTGGTATTGCACTTCCTATCAATTGATGGCCAAGAAACTGTGAAACTGAAATAGATCACATAATAAATAAATGGCAGAACTGGGACACTGAAAAAGTTCAAACTTGGAACACTCTTTCCACTCCCTCACAATTATTTCCCTTAGCATTTGAATCCAACACACATATGTTATTTGTCTGCCTGAAACTTCAGTGAGTTTCAGGCAGACAAATAAACTCTTCCTGCATTTTAAAAAAACAATCCCAATTGCCTTCCTTGTATAAATTGCTCCCTCATAACTGAGGGATATGACACGTACTCAGTGTAGAGTACTATGACCCCTGCTTGTCTTGCTTTGGGTTCCCCACAAGACAGATCCTGAGATAAGGACTTGAGAGTCGGTGGTTTATTAGGGAGGTGAGCCTAAGAAGCAAAAATAAGACAGCAGGGAGCATGAGACAGGGCAGAAAGAAATGCCAGTATTAGGAAAGCATTATTGAAGTTCTTTATGGAGGAAATAGGGGTAGTTTAGGATTGCCCACAGTGGTTTTAACTCACTTAAACTTCTTTGAGCATTGCCTAAGAGGGCTGTGAGGCCTTAGTACAGGTCCTGAAACAGAAAATGGAAACATGCTCTAGATAATATCTGAAGATATAGATCCTGTTTTTTTCTTAGCTTTGCAAGTCTTCTTGTTAATGTGTCAACTCTCACTCCCATCACCAAAATTCAGGAAGGCAAGCAGGCAGGCAAACAAATGAAATGACTAGGAAATATGCTCATCTGCTTATCTAACAACCAACCTTGAAAATAATTGGAGAAGTGATGTTGCTTGTTTGAGATTATTGTGGAAAAACTGGGAACACATTGGGGTATTCAAGAGCTAGGGCTAGTACAAAGTTATTGAAACTTGAAGATGATAACTGTTATTTACTGAGCATTTACTATGTGCCTGTCATTATACTTAGTTCTTTACATGCATCACCTTGTTTAGTTGTCACAACTCTAGGGACTTTTTTTTTTTTATTATACTTTAAGTTCTTGGATACGTGTGAACATGCAGGTTTGTTACATCGGTATACAGGTGCCATGGTGGTTTGCTGCACCCATCAACCTGTCGTCTACATTAGGTATTTATCCTAATGCTATCCCTCCCTTAGCCCCCGACCCCCTGACAGGCCCCAGTGTGTGATGTTTCCCTCCCTGTGTCCAGGTGTTCTCATTGTTCAACTCCCACTTCTGAGTGAGAACATGTGGTGTTTGGTTTTCTGTTCTTGTGCAAGTTTGCTGAGAATGATGGTTTCTGGCTTCATCCATGTCCCTGCAAAGGACATGAACTCATCCTTTTAATATGGCTTCATACTACTACAGGATATATGTGCCACATTTTCTAATTATTGATGGGCATTTGGGTTGGTTCCAAGTCTTTGCTACTGTGAATAGTGCTGTAATAAACATACGTGTGCATATGTCTTTATAGTAGAATGATATATAATCCTTTGGGTATATACCCAGTAATGAGATTACTGGGTCAAATAGTATTTCTGGTTCTAGATCCTTGAGTAATCACCATGCTGTCTTGCACAATGGTTGAATTAATTTACACTCCCACCAACAATGTAAAAACATTCCTATTTCTTCACATCCTCACCAGCATCTGTTGTTTCCTGACTTTTTAACAATCGCCATTCTAACGGGTGTGAGATGGTATCTCATTGTGGTTTTGATTTGCATTTCTCTAATTACCAGTGATGATGAGCTTTTTTTTCATATATATGCTGGCTGCATAAATGTCTTCTTTTGAGAAGTGTCTGTTCATATCCTTTGCCCACTTTTTGATGGGGTTGTTTGTTTTTTTCTTGTAAATTTGTTTAAGTTCTTTGTATACTCTGGATATTAGCCCTTTGTCAGTTGGATAGACTGCAAAAATTTTCTCCCATTCTGTAGGTTGCCTGTTCACTCTGATGATAGTTTCTTTTGCCATGCAGAAGCTCTTTAGTTTATATCCTTCCCCACTTTTTGATGGGGTTGTTTGTTTTTTTCTTATAAATTTTTTTAAGTGCCTTGTAGATTCTGGATATTAGCCCTTGGTCAGATGAATACATTGCAAACTTTTCCCACCATTTTGTAGGTTGTCAGTTCACTCTGATGATAGTTTCTTTTGCTGTGCAGAAGCTCTTTAGTTTAATTAGATCCCATTTGTCTATTTTGGCTTTTGTTGTCATTGCTTTTGGTGTTTTAGTCATGAAGTCTTTGCCCATACCTATGTCCTGAATCGTATTTCCTTGGTTTTCTTCTAGGGTTTTTATGATTTTAGGTCTTACATTTAAGTCTTTAATCCACCTGAGTTAATTTCTGTATAAGGTGTAAGGAAGGGGTCCAGTTTCAGTTTTCCGCATATGACTAGCCAGTTCTCCAAACACCATTTATTAAATAGGGAATTCTTTCCCCATTGCTTGTTTTTGTTAGGCTTGTCAAAGATCAGATGGTCGTAGATGTGTGGCATTACTTCTGAGGCCTCTGTTCTGTTCCATTGGTCTATATATATGTTTTGGTACCAGTACCATGCTGTTTTGTTTACTGTACTCTTGTAGTATAGTTTGAAATCAGGTAGCGTGATGCCTCCAGCTTTGTTCTTTTTGCTTAGGATAGTCTTGGCTATGTGGGTGCTTTTTTGGTCCCATATGAAGTTTAAAGTATTTTTTTTCTGACTCTGTGAAGAAAGTCAAAGGTAGCTTGCTGGGGATAGCATTGAATGTATACATTACTTTGGGCAGTATGGCCATTTTCACAATACTGCTTCTTCCTATCCATGAGCATGGAATGTTTTTCCATTTGTTTGTGTCCTCTCTTATTTCCTTGAGCAGTGGTTTGTAGTTCTCCTTGAAGAGGTCCTTCACATCCCTTGTAAGTTGGATTCCTAGGTATTTTATTCTCTTTGTAGCATTCGTGAATGGGAGTTCACTCATGATTTGGCTCTTTGTCTGTTATTGGTGTATAGGAATGCTTTTGATTTTTGCACATTGATTTTGTTTTCTGAGACTTTGCTGAAGTTGCTTAGCAGCTTAACAAGATTTTGGACTGAGATGATGGGGTTTTCTAAATGTACAATCACATAATCTGCAAACAGAGACAATTTGACTTCCTGTCTTCCTATTTGAATACGCTTTATTTCTTTCTCTTGCCTGATTACCCTGGCCAGAACTTCCAATACTATGTTGAATGGAAGTGGTGAGAAAGGGCATCCTTGTCTTGTGCCACTTTCCAAAGGGAATGCTTCCTGTTTTTGCCCATTCACTATGATATTGTCTGTGGGTTTGCCATAAATAGCTCTTATTATTTTGAGATATGTTCCATCAATACCTACATTATTGAGAGTTTTTAACATGAAGCAATGTTGAATTTTATTGAAGGTGTTTTCTGCATCTATTGAGATAATCATGTGTTTTTTGTCATTGGTTCTGTTTATGTGATGGATTACATTTATTCATTTCCATATTTTGAACCAACCTTGCATCCCAGGGATGAAGCCGACTTGATCGTGGTGGATAAGCTTTTTTGACGTGCTGCTGGGTTCGGTTTGCAAGTATTTTATTGAGGATTTTTGCATCAATATTCATCAGGGATATTGGCCTGAAATTTGTTTTGTTGTTGTTGTGTCTCTGCCAGGTTTTGATATCAGGACGATGCTGGTCTCATAAAATGAGTTAAGGAGGAGTCTTTCTTTTTCTATTGGTTGAAGTAGTTCCAGAAGGAATGATACCACCTCCTCTTTATACCTCTGGTAGAATTCGGCTCTGAATCCATCTGGTCCTGGGCTTTTCTTGGTTGTTAGGCTATTAATTACTGCCTCAATTTCAGAACTTGTTATTGTTCTCTTCAGGAATTTGACTTCTTCCTGTTTTAGTCTTGGGTGGTTGTATATGTCCAGGAATTTATCCATTTCTTCTAGATTTTCTAGTTTATTTGTGTGGAGGTGTTTATAGCATTCTTTGATTGTAGTTTGTAGTTGTGTGGATCAGTGGTGAGATCTCCTTTAACATTTTTAATTTTTTCTACTTGATTTCTCTCTGTTTTCTTCTTTATTAGTCTGGCTAATGGTCTATTTTGTTAATCTTTTCAAAAAACCAGATCCTGGGTTCATTGATTTTTTGAAGGGTTTTTCTTGTCTCCATCTCCTTCAGTTCTGCTCTGATCTTAGTTGTATCTTGTCTTCTGCTAGCTTTTGAATTTGTTTGTTCTGGCTTCTCTAGTTCTTTTAATTGTGATGCTAGGGTTTCAATTTTAGATCTTTTATGCTTTCTCCTGTGGGCACTTAGTGCTATAAATTTCCCAGTAAACACTGTTTTAGCTGTGTCCCAGAGATTCTGATACAGTATGTGTTTGTTCTCATTGGTTTAAAAGAAGTGATTTATTTTTGCCTTATTTTCATTATTTACCCAGTAGTCATTCAGGAGCAGGTTGTTCAATATCCATGTAGTTTTGCTGTTTTGAATGAGTTTCTTAAACCTAAATTCTAATTTGATTGCACTGCAGTCTGAGAGACTGTTTGTTATGATTTCTGTTCTTTTGATTTTGCTGAGGAGTGTTTTACCTCCGATTATGTGGTCAGTTTTAGAATAAGTGCGATGTGGTGCTGAGAATGCATATTTTGTTGATTTGGGGTGGAGAGTTCTGTAGATGTCTACTAGTTCTGCTTGGTCCAGAGCTGAGTTCAAGTCCTGAATATCCTTGTTTATTTTCTGTCTCGTTGATCTAGTATTGACTAGTGGGGTGTTAAAGTCTCCCATTATTATTGTGTGGGAGTCTAAGTCTCTTTGTAGGCCTCTAAGAACTTGCTTTATGAATCTGTGTGCTCCTGTATTGGGTGCATATATATTTAGGATAGTTAGCTCTTCTTGTTGCATTGATCTCTAGGGACTTCTTATTTGTGTTTCATAGAAAATGAACCTGAGACTCAAGAAAATTAAATAGCTTTTTAAAAATACACATCTGATAAATGGTTGAACTTGGATGAATGCCATCAAATGCATTATCAATGTTATGATTTTTCTCAAGCTTTTTCCTCCATAATTGTTCAGATACATTTCACATACCATAAAATGCACTCTAAATTTAAAGTATACAGTTTAATCGTTTATAGAATATTAAAAGAATTGTGTGCAGTCATAACCTTTATATTAGTTTAGAAAATTGCCAACACCTCTAAAATAAATTTCATACTGATATGGTTTGGCTTTGTGTCCTCACCCAAATCTCTCTTGAATTATAATCCTGTCATCTCCTCCTGTGGTGGGAGGGACCTGGTGGAAGGTAATTGAATAATTGTGGTGGTTTCCCCTTTGGTATTCTCGTGATAGTCAGGAAATTCTGGTGAGATTTAATGGTTTTATAAGGGGCTTCCCCATTTGTTTGGCTCTCATTCTTCTCCTTTCTGCTGTCACATGAAGAAGGACATGTTTGTTTCCCATTTCACCATGATCGTAAGTTTCTTGATGCCTCTCCAGCAATGCTGAACTGTGAGTCAATTAAACCTCTTTCTTTATAAATTACCAAGTCTTGGCATGTCTTTATTAGCAGTGTGAAAACAGACTAATAAAGTAAATTTGTACTGAGGGAGTGGTGTGCTGCTATGTGAATATTAAAAAAGGTGAAAGTGACTGAGGAACTGTATAACAGGCGGACGTTGGAACAGTTTAGAGGACTCAGAAGAAGACAGGAAACTGTGGGAAAGTTTGGAACTTCCTGGAGACTTCTTGAATGGCTTTGACCAAAATTCTGATAGTGATATGGACAATGAAGTCCAGGCTGAAATAGTCTCAGATGGAGATGAGAAACTTGTTGGAAACTGGAGTAAAGATCACTCTTATTTTGCAGAGACTGGTGGCATTTTGCTTCTGCTCTGGAGATCTGTGAAACTTTAAACGGAAGAGAGAAGATTTAGGGTATCTAGCAGAATAAATTTCTAAGTGGCAAAACATTCAAGAGGAAGCAGAGCATAAAAGTTTGGAAAATTTGCAGCCTGATGATGAAATATAAAAGGAAACTCCTTTTTCTGGGGAGAATTTAAGGCAGCTGAAGAACTTTGCATAAGTAATGAAGAGCCGAAGGTTAATCACCAAGACAATAATGAAAATGTCTCCAGGGCATGTCAGAGGCTTTTGCTGCAGACCTTCCTGTCATAGGCCTGGAGGCCTAGGGGGAAAAATTGTTTCATGGGCTGGATCCAGGGACCTCCTGCTGTGTTCAGCCTTTGGACTTGATGCCCTATGTCCCAGCTCTTCCAGCTCAGGCTGTTACTTCAGAGGGTGCAAGCCCCAAGCCTTGGCAGCTTCCACATGGTTTTGGGCCTGCAGCTGTACAGAAGTCAAAAATTGGGCTCTGGTAACCTCCACCCAATTCTCAGAGGATGTATGGAAAAACCTGGATGTCCAGCCAGAAGTTTACTGCCAGGGTGGAGCCCTCATGGAGAACCTCTGTTAGGGCAGTGGGAAAAATAAATGTGAGGTTGGAGCCCCCACACAGAGTCTTCCCTGAGGCACTGCCTAGTGGAGTTGTGAGAAGAGGGCCACCATCCTGCAGACCACAGAATGGTAGATTCACCAACAGCTTGCACCGTGTACCTGGAAAAGACTCAGACACTCAATGCCAGCCATGAAAGCAGCCAGGAGGGGGGCTGTACCCAGCAAAGCCACAAGGGTGGAGCTGCCCAAGACCATGGGAGCCCCCCTTTTGCATCAGTGTGCCCTGGATGTGAGACCTGGAGTCAAAGGACATCATTTAAAAACTTTAAGTTTTAATGACTGCCCTATTGGATTTTGGACTTGCATGGGACCTGTAGCCCCTTTGTTTTGGTCAGTTTCTCCCATTTGCAGTGGTATTTTTGCCCAATGCCTGTACCCCTACTGTATGTAGGAAGTAACAAACTTGCTTTTGATTTTGCATGCTTATAGGTGGAAGGGTTTTGTCTTGTCTCAGATGAGAATTTGGACTTACTTAGACATTTAGGTTAATGCTGGAATGAGTTGAGATTTTGGGGGACTGTTGGAAAGGCATGGTGTTTTGAAATGTGAAGGCATGACCTTTGGGAGGGGCAGAGGTGGAATGATATGGTTTGGCTTTGTATTTCCACACAAATCTCATCTTGAATTGTAATCCCATAATCCCCACGTGTAGTGGGAGGAAGCCAGTGGGAGGTAATTGAGTTTTGGGGTGGTTTTCTGCATGCTATTCTCATGATTGTAAGTTCCCATGAGATCTTATGGTTTTATAAGGGGCTTTCCCTTTTGCTCATCTCTCACTTTTCTCCTTGCTGGCACCTTGTGAAGAAGGACATGTTTGCTTCTCTTTCTGCCATGATTGTAAATTTCCTGAGGCCTCCTCAGCCATGCTGAACTCTGAATCAATTAAAGTTCTTTATAAATTACCCGGTCTCAGGTATGACTTTAGTAGCAGTGAGAGCATAGAATAATACACATACAGTCATTAGCGGTCATTCATTTCCACTACATCTCTGCTTACCCTGCTTCCCAATAACTAGTTTATTTTAATATTTTCATGTATTTGATTGTTTTGTACATTTATCATCAATGAAACAATACAGTTTTTGGTCTCTTGTGACTGACTTCTTTCACTTATAATGTTTTCAAAGTTTATTCATTCCGTAGCATGTATCAGTACTTTATTTCTTTATAAGACGGAATAATTTACTTTTATGTGTGGGAACAAGAATAATGCATTTCTCTTTTTCAATTTAACTTTATTTTAGACAGGGATATGCATGTGCAAATTTGTGACATTGGTATATTACACCCATATAGTGAGCAGAGTATGCAACCCACTCTCCTCTTCCTCCCCCAACACCGTAGTGGTCTCCAGTATCTACTGTTGCCATTGTTATGTCTATGAATACCAAATGTGTAGCACCCATTTATAAGTGAGAGCATGCAATATTTGGTTTTCTGTTCTTTCATTAATTTGTTTAGGATAATGGCCTCCAGCTGCATCCATGTTGCTGCAGAGGACCTGATCTCATTTTTTTAATGGTTGCATAGTATTCCATGGTGTGCATGTACCACATTTTCCTTATTCAATCCACCATTGATGAGCACCTAGGTTTATTCCCTGTTTTTGCTATTATTAATAGCACAGTGATGAACGTATAAAGGTATGTGTCTTTTTGGTATAATGATCTATTTTGCAGGGGGAAGGGGCACATATACCCAGTAATGAGATTGTGGGTCAAATAGTAACTGTCTTTTAATTTTTTTTGAGACATAAATGTCATTTCTATATTTTGAAGAATCCAATTATACATTCTGTTTTTATACTAGATATATTATAAAATTATAAAACTGCAGCAGAAATCCAGAGACAGTTTTTTCGTTTTTTGCTTTTTTTGGTTTTTTGTTTTTGTTTCAGTTTTTTTTTTTTTTTTTTTAATTTGAAGCTTAATTTCTTGGAGAAATCTACAAACTGCTTTTCAGAACGGCTGAACTAATTTACATTCTGGCAACGGTGTATAAACATTCCCTTTTCTCCACAGCCTTACCAGCATCTGTTGTTTTTTGACTTTTTAATAATAGCCTTTCTAAAGAGTATAATATTTTAATAAAAAGTCATTCTGACTGGTGTCTCATCGTGGTTTTTTTGTTTTCTTTTTTTTTTTTAATAGAGTCTCACTTTGTCATCCAGGCTGGAGTCCAGTGGCATTATCTTGGCTCAGTGCAACCTCTGCCTCTCAGGTCCAAGCGATTCTCCTGCCTCAGCCTCCTGAGTAGCTGGGATTACAGGAGCCCACCACCACTCATGGCTAATTTTTGTATTTTTAGTAGAGATGGGGTTTCACCATCTTGGTCAGGTTGCTCTTGAGCTCCTGACCTCGTGATCCACCTGCCTTGGCCTCCCAAAGTGCTAGCATTACAGGCGTGAGCCACTGTGCCCAGCCTCATCATGGTTTTAATTTGCATTTATCTGGTGATAAGTGATAATGGGGATTTTTTTCATGTTTTTGGCCACTTGTGTGTTTTTTTTAAAGAAGTGTCTGTTCATTTTCTTAGCATATTTTTGATGGAGTTGTTTTCTGCTTGTTGATGTGTTCAGTTTCTTATACATTCTGGATAGTAGACCTTTTACAGATCCACAGTTTGTGAATATTTTTCCAGAAATAAAGTCTACACAATCATAGTCGATTTGCTTTTGATATGCCGCTGGATTAGGTTTGCTAATATGTTGTTGAGGATTTTTGCATCTATGTTCATCAGGGACATTGTCTTAAAGTTCTTTTTATTGGTTGTGTCTTTGTCTGATTTTAGTATTAGGCTGATACTGGCTTCATAGAATGAGTTAGGGAGGAGCCTCCTCAATTTATTGAAATAGCTTCAGTAAGATTGGTACTAGTTTTTCTTTGTACATCTGGTGGAATTCAGCTGTAAATTAATCTAGGGCTTTCTTTTTTTAATTGGTATTTTTTTTAATAACTAAATCAATTTCTGAATTTGATATTGGTAAAGTTAGTGTTTCAATCTCTTTCTAGTTCAGTCTCGGGAGATTGTGTGATTCCATGAATTTGTTCATCTTCTCTAGATTTTCTAATTTGTGTGCATAGAGTTGTTTATAGTATGCTCTGAGGATCTTTTCTGTTTCTCTGGGTTCAGCTGTAATGTCATCTTTGTCATTTCTGATTGCATGTTTTTGGATCTTCTGTTTTTTTCTTTGTTAATCTAGCTGGCAGTATATTAATTATTTAAAGAAGCAACTTTTGGTTTCATTGGCCTTTTAAATAAATTTTTGCATCTCAGTTTCATTCAGTTCTTCTCTAATTTTAGTTATTTCTTTTCTTCTGCTAGATTTTGAGTTGTTCTTTTTATTCTACTTCCTTTAGGTGCAACGTGAGATTATTAATTTGAGATCTTTTCAACTTCTTGTTGGAGGTGGTTAGTGCTATAAACTTTTATCTTAATACTGCTTTAGCTACATCTCAGAGATTTTGGTACGTTGTGTCCCTATTTTCATTAACTTCAATGTATTTTAAAATTTCTGCCTTAATTTCAATGTTCACTTAAGAGTTATTCAGGAGCAAGTTGTTTGATTTCCATGAAATTTTGTAGTTTTGAGACATCTTCTTTATATTCATTTTTATTTTTATTGCACTGTGACCTGAGAGTATGCTTGGTATAATTTCAATTTTTTAAATTTATTGAGACTTGCTTTATGATTAAGTTTATGATTTATCTTAGAATATGTTTTGTGTGCAGATGAGAAGAATGTATATATTCTGATTATTTTGTGGAGAATTCCACAGGTGCTTATTAGGTACAATTGGTAAAGTGTTGAATTTAATTTCAGAGTTTATTTGCTAGTTTTCTGCCTCAATGATATGTCTAATGTGCTGCTGATGTTTCCCACTATTGTGGTGTGGTTGTCTATTTTTGTTTGTAGGATAAGAAGAGCTTGCTTTATGAATCTGGGTGTTCCAATGTCGGATGCATATATATTTAGTATAATTATGTTTTCTAGTTGGATTGTATCCTTTGTCATTATGTAATGTCCTTATTCATGCTTCTTTTTAGCTTAAAATCTGTTTTATGGGATATAAGAATAGCAACTCTTGCTTTTTTTTATTTTGTTTTCTGTTTGTATGGTAGATCTTACTCCATCTCTTTTCTTTGGTCCTATTTGTGCCCTAACATATGAAATGCGTCTCAGGGAGACAACAGATAATTTGGTCTTGTCTTTTTATTCAGCCTGTCACTCTGTGTTTTTTAAGTGAGGCATTTAGCTTGTTTACATTCAAGGTTAGTATTGATATGTGCAATTTTGATCCTGTCATTGTGTTGTTAGCTGGTTGTTACCATATCCTCAAAATACATTTTCCAAGTTGTTTATTCTCTCTCCTTATCTCCCAAGAATGCCAACAATTCAAAGAGTTGGTCTCTACATAATCCTATATTTCTTGGATGTTTTATTCACTTTTTAAAATTATTTTTTCTTTATTTTTGACTAATCGATTTGAAGAATCTGTTTTCAAGCTCAGAGATTCTTTCCTCAGCTTGGTCTATTCTGCTGTTGATAGTGCTGATTCTATTAAAAATTCTTGTAAAGAGGAATTGCCACACTGTCTTCCACAATGGTTGAACCAATTTACAATCCTGCCAACACTGTAAAAGCATTCCTATTTCTCCACATCCTCTCCAGCATCTGTTGTTTCCTGACTTTTTTATGATTTCCATTCTAACTGGCATGAGATAGCATTTCATTGTGGTTTTGATTTGCATTTCTCCAATGACCAGTGATGATGAGCTTTTTTTTCATATGTTTGTTGGCTGCATACATGTCTTCTTTTGAGAAGTGTCTGTTCATATCCTTCACCCACTTTTTGATGTGATTGGTTTTTCTTGTAAATTTGTTCAAGTTCCTTGTAGATTCTGGATATTAGCCCTTTGTCAGATGGATAGATTGCAAAAATTTTCTCCCATTCTGTAGGTTGCTGTTTCACTCTAATGATAGTTTCTTTGGCTGTGCAGAAGCTCTTTAGTTTAATTAGATCCTATTTGTCTATTTTGCCTTTTGTTGCCATTGCTTTTCGTGTTTTAGTCATGAAGTCTTTGCCCATGTCTATGTCCTGAATGGTATTGCCTAGGTTTTCTTCTAGGATTTTTATGGTTTTAAGCCTTATACTTAAGTCTTTAATCCATCTTGAGTTAATTTTTGTATAAAGTGTAAGGAAAGGGTCTAGTCTTAGTTTTCTGCATGTGGCAAGCCAGTTTTCCAAACACCATATATTAAATAGGGAATCCTTTCCCCATTTCTTGTTTTTGTCAAGTTTGTCAAAGATCAGATGGTTGTAGATGTGTGGTGTTATTTCTGAGGGTTCTATTCCACTGGTCTATATATCTGTTTTGGTACCAGTACCATGTTGTTTTGTTTCCGTAGCATCGTAGTATAGTTTGAAGTCAGGTAGTGTGATGTCTCCAGCTTTGTTTTTTTTGTTTTTTTTGTTTTTTTTTTTTGCTCAAGATTGTCTTGGCTATGTGGGTGCTTTTTTGGTTCCATATAAAATTTAAAGTAGTTTTTTTCCTAACTCTTTGAATAAAGTCAATGGTAGCTTGATGGGGATGGCATTGAATCTATGAATTACTTTGGGCAGTATTGCCATTTTTATGATATTGATTCTTTTTATCCATGAGTATGGAATGTTTTTCCATTTATTTCCTTGAGCAGTGGTTTGTTATTCTCCTTGAAGAGGTCCTTCACATCCCTTGCAAGTTGGATTCCTAGGTACTTTATTCTCTTAGTAGCAATTGTGAATGGGAATTCACTTATGATTTGGCTCTCTGTTTTTCTATTAATGGTGTGTAAAAATGCTTGTGATTTTTGCACGTTGATTTTGTATCCTGAGACTTTGCTGATTTGCTTATCAGCTTAAAGAGATTTTGGGCTGTGACTATTGGGTTTTCTAAATATACAATTATGTAATCTGCAAACAGAGACAATTTGAATTCCTGTCTTCCTATACTGAATACCCTTTATTTCTTTCTCTTGCCTGATTGCCCTTGCCACAACTTCCAATACTATGTTGAATAGGAGTGGTGAGAGAGGGCATCCTTGTCTTGTGCCAATTTCCAAAGGGAATGCTTCCAGTTTTTGCCCGTTCACTATGATATTGTCTGTGGGTTTGTCATAAATAGCCTTTATTATTTTGTGATACATTTCATCAGTACCTAGATTATTGAGAGTTTCTAGCATGAAGGGGTGTTGAATTTTGTGGAAGGTGTTTTCTGCATCTATTGAGATGATTATGTGGTTTTTGTCATTCGTTCTGTTTATGTGATGGATTACATTTATTGATTTGCTATGTTGAACCAGCCTTGCATCCCAGAAATGAAACCGACTTGTTCTTCATGGATAAACTTTTGATGTGCTGCTGGATTCCGTTTGCTAGTATTTTATTGAGGATTTTTGCATCAACATTCATCAGAGATATTGGCCTGAAATTTTGTTGTGTTTCTGTCAGGTTTTGGTATCAGGATGAAACTGGCCTCATAAAATGAGTTAGGGAGGAGTCCCTCTTTTTCTGTTGTTTGGAATAGTTTCAGAAGGAATGATACCACCTCTTCTTTGTACCTGTGGTAGAATTCAACTGTGAATCCATCTGGTCCTAGGCTTTTTTTGTTGTTGTTGTTAGGCTATTAATTACTGCCTCAATTTCAGAACTTGTTATTGTTCTATTCAGGGAATCAACTTATTCCTGGTTTAGACTTGGGAAAGTGTATGCATCCAGGAATTTATCAATTTCTTCTAGATTTTCTAGTTTATTAGTGTAGAGGTGTTTATAGTATTCTCTGAGTTTTTTACTTATAGAAAATCAGTTTGTTTTTTTTCTTAAAATGGCTACTTTGTGTTTCATCTCTTGGATTGTTTTACTGGGATCCCTGGATTCCTTGGATTGGATTTCAACTTTCTCCTGAATCTCGATGAACTTCCCTGCCATCCAGATTTTGAATTCTGACTGTCTTTTTCATCATTTTCAACAAGTTATGAAACATTCCTGGGGAGCTAGTATACTTGTTTGAAGGTAGGAGGACACTGTGGCTTTTTGAATTGTCAGAGTTCTTGAACGGATTTCTTTTCTCATGTCCTTAATTTTACAGAAGCATATATTAGCTAAGTATTTTTGGTGTTGTAGTTTGTGGTGCAATTCAATAGATTGTGCTAAAGAGTAATGGCTGGCAGATAGGATCTTATTTAGAGGCATGACTCTTTCATATTTCCTTATGTTTACAGTTGTGCTCTGTGGTGCAGTTGGAGAAAGGTGACTCCTTCACCAGGTCCACTCCTGAGACTTAAGGATGCCCCTCCTCTCACTGACACTGTGCCCACGTTTCTTTTGTTAGATATTATGCACCATGGAGATCCCTTGTGCAAAGGCCAAGGAGGGGAGAGAGGCCACTTTCTGGACCCTCCCCATAGAGGGAGGCATGTCCAATTCCTGTGGCAACCCACAAACCCATGTGACTCTCCTTTCTCAGTGCTCTCATAGTATGGGCTCCTCTCCTCCATTGCCAGCCACAGATCAGGGCTCAGCACTCCTGAGCTGTGCAACGCAGCCTTAGGGTGAACTCAGGCTTTTTGTTTCTTTCCCAGCTTGGGAGCAGCAGGGGCAGAGACCTCAGCAGTGGTGATGGCATAGGGGCCTTCACTTGTCTTCAGGAACTCCACCCCAGAGAAACACAGAGACACTACCAATGAAGACAATCACTGGTGTTGGGATGGCTGTGCTGCGAGGCCAAGTAGGATGTGGTAAAGGTGCACTGTCTGGCAAAGAGCAGTGAGAGCAGGGGTTCAATGGAAAGTCAGTATGACCTCCTCTCTGTAGAGCAGTGGTGACATGCTGGAGGTGCCAGCAAAGCAATCAGGCTCTTTGTTCCCTCCCTAGCCTGGAGGGGAACCAGGTCAAGGGAGAAGAGTCTGGCTGATTTTGCATATGGCAGCTGCGATGTGCTGGAGGCCCAGGGCTGTTCTGCGGCTCTTTGCTCCATCCCAGAGCAATGGAGAGCTGTGACCAGCCAAAGGGCTCCAGGTGTGGGGGTGGGGAGGTGGGGTAACTTCACTGGTGTCCCAGGTTAATGAGCCTGGTCTGATAAGGTGCAGTGGTGGTGGGACCTACAATCTATCTGCTCCTCAGCACTGTGAATGTGGTTCTTCTCCAAGGGGCACATAAGAGAGCACAACCTTCCCTGCTGGTGGAACTACAGCAGTTGGCACTGGGATGCTCAGGGATCCAAAGCCTGTGGGGTGCCATATAGGCATGACTGGTGACTCTGATTAGACTTCAGACATCTCTCTGTGTCACTCTGGAGGCACAAGGGTGTCAGGGGAGATTTCCTGTGCCCAGGCTTGCAAAGGTCCATGGCACAAGTGTGGGTCCCAAGGGGCTCTCACTCACTCACCCTTTCCCAATGGTAGGGAGTTTTCCCTGGATCTGCACCAAAATTGGTGGGTTGCTGTCTTGTCTCATTCTTCTCTGCTCTTTGTCGGTCACATTGCTGACTTGGTGAACCCCAATATGGCCTTCTGGACAATCCACTTGAAGAGTTAGAGTTTATTAGCTACTTTCCTCCTCTCCCTAAGGGCAGCACACATTAGTTGCTTCTAGTCAGTCATCTTGGTGCTTCTGAATAATTTTCCATTTTATAGATTATATATTTTGCTTCTCCATTCATTAGTTAGGGACATTTGGGTTGTTTCCACTTTTTGGCTATTATAAATACTGCTGCCACAAATGTTTCAGTACAAGTCATTATGTAAACATGTTTTCAATTTTAGGTCATATGGTAACTGTATGTTTAACTTTGTGAAGTCCTGCCAAACTGTTTTCCAAAGTGGCTGCACCATTTTACATTTTCACTCTGTGGTTGTTTTTTTCACTTTCTTAATGATTTCCTTTGAAACACAAAATGTTCAATGTTGATGCAGACAAATTTCTCCTTTGTTTTACTTTGTTCCTTATGTTTTTGGTGTAGTCTCAAAGAAACCATTACCTAACTCATCATCATAAAAGTTTACTCATATTTTCTTCTAACAGTGTTACAGTTTAGCTCATATATTTAGGTCTTCAATATATTTTGAGTTAGTTTTATGCATGGTTTGGGTAGGGGTCCAACTTCATTCTTTTTCATGTGGATAGTCAATTGTCCCAGTACCATTTGTTGAAGACTTTTCTTTCCCCAATCAACTGTGTTGGTACTCTTGTTTAAATCAATTAACCATGAATATAAGGGTTTACTTCTGGGTTCTCAATGCAGTTTCATTGATCTATATGTTTATCCTATGCCAGGACTATACTGTCTTGACATCTGAAATCATGAATTGTAAGTTCTTCAAATTTGTTCTTCTTTTTCAAAATGATTTTGGCTCTTCTGGCTCCCTTGCATTTCCATATACATTTTAGAATAAGTTTGTTAATTTCTGCAAAGAAGACATCTGGGATCCTTTTATTATATAAGACTGTGTTGAACTTATCGATCAATTTGGAGAATATTTTCATCTTAACAATATTAAGTGCTGTGATCTATGTATGTTGTATGTCTTTTTATTTATTTCAGCATTTTAAAATATCTTTCAACCATGGTTTGTAGTTTTCAGCATACAGATCTTGCATTTATTTCATTAAATTTATTCCTAGATATTTTTCCTGCTATTACATATATAAGAACATTTTCTTAATTTTAGAAATATTTATTGCCAGTGTGTAAAATTATAGCTGATTTTTTATATTGACTATGTATCCTCCAACCTTGTTGAGCTCATTTATTAATTCTAATACATTTATTGCATTCCATAGGATTTTCTATATACAAAAGTTCATGTCATCTAGAGCCAGTTTTACTTCTTCCTTTCTAATATTGATGCTTTTATTTTATTTTCTTATCTCATTTCTCTTTCTCAAACCTCCACTACGATGTTGAATAGAAGTGATGAGAGAAAATATTGTTGTTTGCTGCCTGTTCTTAGAGGGAAATCATTTAGTTTTTCACCATTAAGTGTGATGATTACTGTGGAATTTTTATAGATGCCTTTTATAATCTTGATGACGTTCCCTTGTAGTTTTTAGTATGTTGGCTGTTTTATCATTAAAAGTTGCTGGATTTTGTCAAATACTAATTCTTTATCTACTGAGAGAACTATGCAGTGTTTGTTCTTTATTCTATTAGTATAATGTATCATGTTTATTGATTTTCAGCTGTTGAAATGGTCCTGCCTTCCTGGGATAAGTCTCACTAAATTGTGTAGCATAATCCTTTTTATATGTTGCTGGATTAGGGTTACTAGTATTTTATTGAAAATTTTTGCATCTATATTGATAAGGGATATTAGTCTATAGTTTTCTTTTTATATGTTCATGTGGTTTGGATATGAGTTTAAGACTGTCATAAAATGAGTTGAACAGTGCTGCCTTTTCTCTAACTTTTTAAAAGACTTTTTGTAGAATGGCCTTAATTCTTCTTTAAATGTTTGGGTAGAATTCAGCAGTGGAGTCATCTGGTACTTGGCTTTCCTTTGTGGTAAGTTTTAAAATTCACAATTCAACCTCTCTGCTTATTATAGTAGAAATCTATTCAGATTTTTAATATCTTCTTGAATCTGTTCCAGTAGTTTATGTCTTTCTAGGAATTTGTGCTTTTCATCTAGGTTATCTAATCATTGGCATGCAATTTTTCATTCTCCTACAATACTTTTTATTGCTATAAAGTCAATAGTAATGCCCCCTTTCATTCCAGATTTTAATTATTTGAGTGTTCTTTTTTCTTGTTCAGTCTATTTAAAAGATCACTAATTTGATCTTTTCAAATAACCAAATTTTGGATTTATTAATTTTCTCTATTGTTTTTCTGTTCTGTGTTAATTAATTTCTGCTCTAATTGTTGTGTCCTTCCTTCTGCCTGGTAGAGTTTAGTTTGTATTAAAATAATACAAGCTTTTAAAAATAATATAAGCTATCCCAGCCATAAATTTCTCTCTAATGACTATTTTTGTTGCATCTCTTAAGTTTTGTTACGATATGTATTACATTTTCTTCACCTGAAAGAGTTTTTTAATTTCCCTCTTGATTTCTTCTTGATGCATTGATTATTTAGGAGAATGTTGTTTAATTTCCACATGTTTATGAAATTTCCTAATATTCTTCTCTTATTGATTTCTAATTTCATTTTATTATGGCCAGAAAACACATGAATTATGATTTCAATATTTTTAAATTTATTGTTTCATATTTTATGATGTAGCATATGGTTTATTCTGGAGAATGTTCTATGTTTGCTTGAAGAATGTGTATTCTATTGTTGTTGGATGTAGTATAGTTGCCTTTTATGTCTAATTGGCAGTTCATGTTGTGTGGCATGTCTTTAAATTGCATTTTTTGACAATGCTTTTTATTTCTCTTAAAAAACTAATAAATCAGTTTATAAAACCTTTTAAGAAAGGCAGAAGAGGAAACAAATGGCGGGTAGGAGGCAGGACTAACTTGTAGCTCCCACTCAGACAAATCCAGTAGCATGTGGAGACTCACATTGTGAACTTTGCTCCAAGAACTACTGCAGGAAATACCAGGAAAGCTGAGGGAATCCACAGACCCTTTGAAGGAGGTGGATTGCTGCTGCAGGCTCTGTGGGACAGCTGAGGAACTGTGAGTCTGCTTGCTTTCTCAGCTGGAAGGCTTGTAGCCTGGAGCAAGTTCTCAGCCCTGCTCACCAGCAGCCTGGAAATAAACTCAGTTTACTGGTGGGGGTGGGCATGGTGGGAGTGAGAGTGGCCTTTCAGACTGTGGGCTGCATGGGAGCTGGATGAGGCCTGTGGCTGCTAGCTTTCCCCCACTTCCCTGGTGACCTGTGTGACACAGCAGAGGCAGCCATAGTCCCCCTGGGAACACAACTCCATTAGCCTGGGAGCCACACTCCCATCCCCCACAGCAGCCACAGCAAGCCCCACCCAGGGAGAATCTGAGCTCAGACATGCCTAACCTTCCCATACCTGATTGTCTTACTCTTCCTACCTGGTAGCTGAAGACAAAGGACATAATCTTTTGGAAGCTCTATGGCCTGCCCACCACCTGGTACCTATACTACCATAGATCATGCACTCTTGAAAGTGCCACATCCTGGCTAGAGGCCAACCAATATAAAACCAGTGCACTTAATAAAAATACAACCAAAGACCCTCACAGAGTCACTTCACTCCCTTGCTACCTCCACTGGAGCGGGTGTTGGTATCCATGGCTGAAAGACCTGAAGACAGATCACATCTCAGGACCCTTTAAAGACACTCCCCAGTACCAGCCCAGAACCTGGTAGCCCCACTGGGTGCCTAGATCAAGAAAAGAATAATAATCACTACAGTGTGGCTCTTAGGAAGCCACACTGTAGTGAGGAGAGAGCCACATCAAGGGAAAAGAGGAGAGAACCACATCAAGGGAGCACCCTGTGGGACAAAATAACCTGAACATCAGCCCTTGAGCACTAGATCTTTCCTTTGACATAGTCTACCCAAATGAGAAGGAAACAGAAAAAGATTTCTGGTAATTGTGGTAATGTGATGACAAAATAAGGTTCTTTAACACCCTCAAAAAAATCACACTAGCTTACCAGCAATTGATCGAAACTAAGACGAAATCCCTGAATTGCCAGAAAAGGAGTTCAGAAGGTCAATTATGCTAATCAAGGAGGCACCAGAGAAAGGTAAAGTTCAATTGAAAGAAATAAAAAAAGGATACAGGATATGAATGGAGAAATCTCCAGTGAAATAGATAAATAAAAAACAATTACAACTTCTCGAAATGAAGGACACACTTAGAGAAATGCAAAATGCACTGGAAGGTCTGAACAATAGAATTGAACAAGTAGAAGAAAGAACTTCAGAGCTCAAAAACAAGGCTTTTGAATTAACCCAATCCAACAAAGACAAAGAAAAAAGAATAAAAAATAAGTAAACAAAGCCTCCAAGAAGTTTGGGATTATGTTAAATGATCAAACCTGAGAATAATTGGTGTTCCCATGGAAGAAGAGAAATCTAAAAGTTTGGAAAACATATTTAAGGGAGTAATCAAGGAAAATTTCCCGAGCCTTGCTAGATATCTAGACATTCAAATATAAGAAGCTCAAAGAACGCCTGGAAAGTTTATCCCATAAAAGATCATCTCCTAGGCACATAGTCATCAGATTATCTAAAGCGAAGACAAAGAAAAGCGTCCTAAGAGCTGTGAGGCAAAAGTATCAAATAACCTATAAAAGAACACCTATTAGTTTATCAGTAGATTGCTCAGCACAAACCCTACAAGCAAGAAGGGATTTGGGTCCTACCTTTTGCCTCCTTAAAGAAAACAATAATCAGCCAATAATTTTGTATCCAGTGAAATAAAGCTTCATAAATGAAGGAAAGATAGTCTTTTTCAGAGAAATAAGTCCTGAGAGGATTTGCCACTTCCAAGCCAGTTCTACAAGAACTCCTAAAAGGAGCTCTAAAACTTGAAAAAAAATCCTCAAAATACACCAAAACAGAATCTTTTTAAAGCATAAATCTCACAGGACCTATAACACCACACACACACACACACAAAAAAAGGTACTCAGATAACAACTAGCACAATGAATAGAATAGTACCTCACATTTCAATACTAACATTGAATGTAAATGAACTAAATGCCCTACTTAAAAGATGCAGAATGGCATAATGGATAAGAATTCAGCAAATAAGTATCTGCTGTCTTCCTCACCTGACACATAAGGACTCATACAAACCTATATTAAGGGAGTGGAAAAAGATATTCTGTGAAAATGGACACCAAAAGCAAGCAGGAATAGCTATTCTTACATCAGACCAAAGAAACTTTAAAGCAACAGCAGTAATAAAAAACAAACAGGGATACTATATAATGATAAAAAGACTAGTCCAAGAGAAAAAATCACAATCGTGTGTGTGTGTGTGTGTGTGTGTGTGTGTGTGTGTGTATATATATGCACCTAACACTAGAACTCATAAATTTATCAAACAATTACTACTACACCTAAGAAATGAGATAGCAACACAATAATAATGGGGGGCTTCAATACTCCCCTGACAGCATTGGACAGGTCATCAAGACAGAAAGTCAACAAACAAACAATAGACTTAAATTATACCCTAGAACAAATGGACTCAAAAATATTTACAGAACATTCTACCCAACAACTGCAGAATATACATTCTATTCATTAACACATTGACCATTCTTCAAGATTGACCATATAATAGGTTATAAAACAAGTCTCAATAAATATAAGAAAATCAAAATTATGTCAAGTACTCTCTCAGATCACAATTGAATAAAATTGGAAATCAACTTCAAAAGTAACTCTCAAAATCATGCAAATACATGGAACTTAAATAATCTGCTCCTCAATGATTGTTGGGTCAACAATGAAATCAAGATGGAAATTAAAAAATTATTTGAACTGAACCATAATAGTGAAAAAGCTATTAAAACCTCTGGGATACAGCAAGGGCAGTGCTAAGAAGAAAGTTCATAGCATTAAATGTCTACATCAAAAAGTCGGAAAGAGCCCAAATAGACAATCTAAGGTCACACCTCAAGGAACTAGAGAAACAAGAACAAACAAACCCAAACCCAGCCAAAGAAAAGAAATAACAAAGATCAGAGCAGAACTAAATGAAATTGAACAAAAAAAAATACAAAAGATAAATGAAACAAAAGTTAGTTCTTTGAAAAGATAAAATTGAGACACCATTAGAGAGATTAACCAAGAAAAAAAGAGAGGATCCGAATAAACTCAATTAGAAATGAAACAGGTGATATTACAACCAATACCACAGAAATACAAAAGATCATTCAAGGCTACTATGACCACCTTTATGTGCATAAACCAGAAAACCTATAGTAGAAGAATAAATTCCTGGAAATATACAACCCTCCTAGATTAAACCAGGAAGAAGTAGAAACTCTGAACAGACCAATGACAAGCAGAGAGATTGAAATGGTAATTAAAAAGTTACCAACAGGGAAAAAAAGTCGAGGACCAGATAGATTCACAGCTAAATTCTCTCAGACATTCAAAGAAGAATTTGTGCCAATCCTATTGATACTATTCCAAAAGATAGAGGAAGAGGAAATCCTTCCTAAGTCATTCTATGAAACCAGTATCACTCTAATACCCAAACCAGGAAACTACATAACCAAAAAAGAAACCTACAGAACAATATCCCTGATGAATATAGATGCAAAAATCCTCAACAAAATACTAGCTAACTGAATTCAACAGCATAGCAAAACGATAATCCCACCATTATTAAGTGGGTTCATAACAGTGATGCAGAGATGGTTTAACATTTATGTCAGTAAATGTGATATATCACATTAACAGAATTAAAAACAAAAATCACATGATCATCTCAATAGATGCAGAAAAAGTATTTGGCAAAATCCTGCATTTTTTTATGATTAAAACCCTAAGCAAAATTAGCATAGAAGGGACATACCTTAACGTAATAAAAGCCATCTATGACAGACCCACAGTCAACATTATACTGAATGGAGAAAAATTGAAAGCATTCTTCCTGAGAAATGGAAAAAGACAAGGATGCCCACTTTCACCACTTCTATTCAATGTAATACTGGCAGTTCTAGACAGAGCAATCAGACAAGAGAAAGAAATAAGGCATCCAAATTGGTAAAGAGGAAGTCACATTATTGCTGTTTGCTGATGACATGATTGTATACCTAGAAAACCCTAAAGACTCCTCCAAAAACCTCCTAGAACTGGTAAATGAATTCAACAAAATTTCAGGACACAAAATTAATATACAGAAATCAGTAGCCCTGCTATACACCAACAATGACCAAGCTGAGAATCGAATCAAGAACTCAACCCCTTTTATGATAGCTGCAAACAACAACAACAACAACAAAACCTTAGGAATATGTGAAACTAAAGAGGTGAAAGACCTCTAGAAAGAAAACTACAAAATACTCCTGCAATAAATCATATATGACACAAACAAATGGAAACACAGAACATGCTCATGGATGGTTAGAATCAATATTGTGAAAATAGCCACACTGCTAAAAGCAATGTACACATTCAATGCAATTCCCATCAAAATACCCCCATCATTATTCATAGAACTAGAAAAAACAATCCCCAAATTGATATGATACCAAAAAAGAGTCTGCATAGTCAAACAAGACTAAGCAAAAAAATTAAGCTGGAGATATCAAACTATATTATAAGACCATAGTTACCAAAAGAGCATGGTATTGGTATAAATTGGGCATATAGACCTATGGAACAGAATAAATAGCCCAGAGATGAAGCCAAATAATTACAGCCAACTGATCTTTGACAAAGCAAACAAAAACATAAAGTGGGGAAAGGACACCCTATTCAACAAATGGTGCTTGGATAATTGGCAAGCCACATGTAGGAGAATGAAACTGGATCCTCATCTCTCACCTTATGCAAAAATCAACTCAAGATGAATCAAAGACTTAAATCTAAGACCTGAAACCATAAAAATTCTGGAAGATAACATTGGCAAAGCCCTTCTAGACATTGGCTTAGGCAGGACTTCATGACCAAGAACCCAAATGCAAATGCAACAAAAACAAAGATAAATATATCGGATTTAAACTAAAAAGCTTCCGCCCGGCAAAAGAAATAATCAGCAGAGTAAACAGACAACCCACAGAAAAAGAAAAATCTTCACAAACTATGCATCCAACAAAGGTCTAATATCCAGAATAAACAAGGAACTCAAACAAATCAGCAAGAAAAAAAACAAACAATTCCATCAAAAAGTGGATTAAGGACATGAACAGAAAATTCTCAAAAGAAGATATACAAATGGCCAACAAACGTGAAAAAATGCTCAACATCACTAATGATCAGGGAAATGCAAATGAAAACCACAGTGCAATATCACTATACTCCCGGATGAATGGGCATATTTTAAAAATAAAAAAATTAATAGATGTTGGCATGGATGTGGTGAAAAAGGAACACTTTTGCATTGCTAGTGGGAATGTAAACTAGTGCAACCAGTATGGAAAACTGTATGGAGATTCTTTAAAGAACAAAATGTAGACCTACAATTTGAACCAGCAATCCCACTGCTGGGTATCTAACCAGAGAAAAATAAGTTATTATATGAAAAATACACTTGCACATGCATGTTTGTAGCAGCACAATTCGCAATTGCAAAAATATAGAACCAGTTCAAATGCCCATCAATCAACAAGTGGTTAAAGAAAATGTGATTATCTATCTATCTATGTATCTATCTATCTATCTATCTATCTATCAATCATCTATCTATCTATCTATCATCTATCTGTGTGTGTGTGTGTGTGTGTGTGTGTGTGTGTGTGTGTGTGCCATGGAATACTACTCAGCCATAAAAAAGAATGAAACAATGACATTCACAGCAACCTGATGGAGTTGGAGACCGTTATTGTAAGTGAAGTAACTCAGGAATGGAAAACCAAACATCGTATGTTCTCAGTTACAAGTGCGATCTAAGCTATGAGGACACAAATGCTTAAGAATGACACAATAGACTTTGGGGACTCAGGGGGAAGGGTGAGAGGGTGGTGAAGGATAAAAGACTACCCACTGGGCACAGTGTACACTGTTTGGGTGATGGGTGCACCAAAATCTCAGAAATCACAACTAAAGAACTTATTCATGTAAGCAAACACCACCTGTTCCCCAAAACCTTATTGAAAAAAAAAATATATATATATATATACACAAAGAAAAGCAGGAAACTACTAGCTGAACTGAAATATAAATAAAAATGAAAAACTTCATTCATACATAAAATATTGTTTTCCTTTTAAATTTGGTTTATATATAAAAATTGTGTTTTCCTTTTAAATTTTGTTTCTGTGCAAAACAATTTTTAATTAGAAACTTTAAGGATAATACTACTTAACTTCTTATTTATATTTGGTTAATATGTTTAAGTTGACACAATATTAATTTAGTGAAATTTAATGGGAAAATACTTTAGACCAGAAAACAAAAGACATGCATTCTAGGTTTGGTTCTGCCACTAACTTGCTGTGTGGCCTGTGTGGAGAATCTGACTTCTTTGGATTGCAGTGTTTCTATCTGTAAACATAGGCCATTCCAGCTCCAGTATTCTTTCTAAGAGCTAGGAAAAGCATAGGATTTGAGAGAGACAAACCTGAGTTTGTCTTAGGATTTCACCAGTCCTTCTTGAGTGACTTTCATGTCCCTAAGACTGAGCTTCTGGATCTATAAAATGGGAAGAATAATATATACCATGCTAAATGTTTGTTAGGATTAAATGAGATTTTATAGGTAAATTACCCAGCAGAGTGTGGCCAACAATAGGTGCTCACTACCTGTTAGGTCCCTTTTCTCTTATTTATGAGTACGCAAAAAAAAAAAAAAAAAAAAAAAAGACTGAACAGACCTAGTAGTAACAATGATAGTTGCTATGCAGTGTACATGTCTGCGTTCTTTTAAATGATAACCAACCTGAGAGCTTGCACATCTGGTAGGGAGGAAAAAAATCTTATGTAATTCTGTTAATTTTTATAGGTTAGACAGCTATGAGGTAATAATCAAAATTTCTTAGAATACAAAATACAAAAGGAAATGTCATATTGAAGTCTCGGTTTATTTATTCTCTCTGCAAAAGCTACATTCCTTTGGAGTGTTAGGTAGCCTTTAGAGCAATAATAATATTCTCACTTATATCTGGGGTTGCTGTTTTCATATTTGTTATCTCATTTGAGCTTATCCCAGTGTCTGGCATATAATTGGAATTTAACAAATGTTCACTGAATAAATGATTCTCTGCAATATTTTATAAAGGTAAACAGCATGGACATTACTATCATAAGTTTTCCTGTAAAGAAACTGAGCTTCAGAAAAGAGATCAATTAACTAATCCAAGGTCATAGGGCAAGTTAAAAACTAAAACTAAAATCTAGGAATCCTGATTGTTCCTCTGCTCTTCACTGGACTTCATCATGTAGTCTGATTAAAGTTACTTAGCTCTTGTCTGTCTGTCCATTCTTCCTCTGTAAAATAGTATCTTTATTGTTCAAAAAAGGCTTTTCACAGTTATTAAATGAGTGTAAGGCTTTCTGACCCACTCTTTTTCCCCCTTATGGAAAATCAGTGAGGAGAAATGCTTCTTATTGCAATTTTTAATTAGAAACTTTAAGGATAATATTTGGTATTTAGCTGTTTGGGAATTCCTTTAATTTACTGGTGTTCAGCCAGCTTTTCTTCTAATAATCAGAACTTCACTGGTAGTGCAGTTGATTCACTTGCAGACTATTATGTGGTATCTGTGGTGTAACTGACAGGAAAAATGCAATGTGAAAGACTAAGAAAAGCAGTGAACTGAGCTATAGCATTTCAGGCATTCTGCTCTTTGTGGTTACAAAATTTCATGCTTTCTTTTACTTAAGTGAAATTTAGGTTGCCAGATGTCTTGTGCACACATGGCCGTTCTGTTTCTGTGCCGTATTCCATTTTCATCTGTATTGGAATACATAATAGTACATTTGAGCCAAGTCAAATGCATTTAGTTGACTACTGTTGGCATTTGTTACCCTCCCCCACTTCTCTACAGACCTAGTTTGAATATGTTCCACATTCTCGAGACTAAAACCCTTCACCAAACTTTCTCACACATCTGAATCGCTTTGAGGCAAAATAATAACCGAGGTGAGATCTTGTTAGTCATGTTAAATGATGATGGCAATTGTTCCCTGCAGACATTGTGATTTATTTAGAGGCCAGTATGGTTTGACCTTTTAACTTTCAATTATTTTTACTTAGAAAACTATAAATGAAAAAGATAACTGTGAGTTTTAATTTTTAAAGTTATTTTTATTGATGGGAACACACAAATTAGTCTGTGCTGACATGTTTTCTCTATGTTGTGCTAAATAGATTTAAAAAAAAAAACAACAAGTTCAGACCAATTAGAGTAAGTTAACATCTAGTTGTCATGCCCCAATAAGAAATTGGCATTTTAGATCGTAAAGTATTCTGGGAGACTGCTGTTATATGTGCCAGGGCTTTGACTGTAGGAATACTAAAAAACTACTCAATATGATAATTATATAAATCCTAATTGAATCTTGCTTTGATTGACAATAAAGAGTACCTGACATATAGGAGGTATTTACTAGGTATAGATTTCTGTGGAGTTGAAATAAATTTAAACAGGCATTTTGGTATTTTCAAGATGCTTGTGGTCACTTTAACAAAGATCGGTTATTATAATGATATCTCTTATTTATACAGCATTGTCAATTTTCAAAATGCTTTTTATCATGAGTTTTCTCATTTGATGCTTTTGTGAACTTTGCTGGGTAGAGAAAGCAAATATTATTATCCTCATTTATTAAATGAAATAGGTTGTACAGCTAGTAAGTGGCAAACCTAGGAGTTTAATCTTAATATCTTGATCCCTAGTACTTTGATCCCTATATTGTTCTTGTCATTCAATATTTGATATCTTGTAGAATGTTAGATATCAAAATTTACTGCATTAAGAATTTTAAAAATTATCTATTCCTACAAAACCTTTTAAAAACAGACTTATACAGGTACTTTATGAACTGAAATACATGTAAATCCTTCTACAGACTGACCATAAATATTCCAGGCACACTTTAATATCATAAACTACAAAATATTTGTTTAAAAAAGCAAACCAGAAAGGGAGAGTACAAAAATACATAGACATCATTTTCTTCTTAAATTGTCAACTTAGAAAAGTTAGCTAAAGAGGGGACTGTTTTCATCTGTGCCAAATATTACAAAATATTTATTTTTTAAAAACAACTTCATTTAGAGACTCTTTAAAGTGTTTGAAACTGATGAGGCCCAAATGAAATGGTAGTCTCTTATTATTCATGATCCTTTGTCCATTACTAGATTGTGAAATCATTGATGGTAGGAATATTGTCCTGCATATGTTTATGTGTACTTCAGTGCCTTGCTTACAGTAAGCCCTCAAAATAAATACTTGATGAAAGTTGAGCTTAATTTACTTTTAATATTTCGCTTTTGATGGTTTGAACTCAACTTCATCAAATCTAAGAAGATAAAAAGAATAGGCACACTTTATCGCTTACTTTTTTATCATTTTCGATATTCTCATAAAATTATTAAAATACAAAGTAATCATGTTTCTTTCCTACTCTGAGTTTGTGAGATGGGGAAAGAGAAAGGGGCCAACCTTCAATTTTTATGTTATAAAGTCCTGATACATATGAATTTGTTGGAATAAGTATGCAGTATTTCATAGCAGAAGAGAAAAATACAATCATATCTACAACAGAAAAAAAGAAAGAAAAACAAATATCTTAGTCTAAATCACTCACAGGATAAAGTTTAAACTCCTTAGCTATTAATAGATAATGTCTTTAACCTAAAGCTTCATCTCCCCACCTCCACCCTACACACACACACACACACACACACACACACACACATCTTTACTCTCCAGTGACATAGAACTATCATTTCTGAAGACACCTTGCTTTTTCCCTCCAGCTTGATTTTTTGTTTGCACCATACTAAACCTAGGAAGCCCTGCCTTTCCTCTTGCTTCCAATGAGGTTTCTCCAGGAACCAGCTCAAAATGCACCACTTCAGTTCAAGCAGAATTAGTGTTCTCTCCTTTGTATGTCACAGTGCTGCACTACCCAACGGCTTCCCCTTTTAAATTGTGGTCAGAGCAAAAACAATGAGTCATGCTTTAGTTATATTTTTCCTTTTCTGTCTCTCTCTTTTCCCTCCTCTTCTCTCCTGCCTGTCTCTGATGCATAGAAGGCATTCCATAAATGCTTGTTGAGTGAGTAAAGTAATGATTAATTTAATAAATTAAAATCTTTTCTAGGGTACTAGCACTCATGTTTAGTGAATCAATATTATTAAGGTGGTTAATAGAGTAAAGGTCGTTCATACTGAGGAGCAGTGTGGTACGTTGGATGACACTCCAGCTTTGGAATGAGACAGATCAGAGTTTGTTTTTAGAATCCATCAATTCCTAGCAGTGTGACCTCTGGCAAGTAACCTCACTTCAGTGGACTTCAATCATTTGATTTGTGTAATGGGGCTAACAATATTTACTTTGCAGACAGTTGAAAAGACCTAAATGGCCCAACACAATATCTGGCAAAGAGCAAGTGCTCACTAAATGGAAATTTTTATTAGTCTCATTAGCTGGTATGTTTCAGTTTAGTATATTTGTTGCCATCACATAACTTAGCATTTGGCTATCTATGCTAGCTGTGTAACGCCTGCTAATTTTTTTGTTCTTGACCACATTTAAACCTCTCATGTTATACTTTAAATACTGTCCACAGTACCTGACTGAATGGTAGCCACAGACTTGATTTTTAACTCTTGGGTTAGAATTGTGGATCACGGTGAAAAGAGAGCAAAGGATTTAAAAACAATAGGTAGAGGTACACTGAGCTTTGTTAAGTGACTTTCCTTTCTCTGGTCCTCAGCTCATTAATCTGTAAAATTAAGACGAGAGCTTATTGAGTCTTTTTCAACATACAGCATCTGTGATTCTGTGATTAGATAATTATTCCCGTTTGTAAAATAAAGAATTGTACTCTAATTAAATAAGCCTCTGTAGCCAGATAGAAAAATATAGAGTCCAGGTAGGTTGACCAACCGTCTCAGTTTGTCTAGCACTGTCCCAGTTTTGGTGCAGAAAGCCCTATGTCCCATGACTCCTCTCAGTCCCAGGGAAACCAAGCACAGTTGATCTTCCTAGGTCCAGGGTAATTTGGCCAATAAGAGGCATTTTTTCTTTATGGTTGCTTAAAGTTTTTTTTTTCTCTCTTTAATTCCACATTGACAAATAGTGTTTGGTTTTAGGAATAAAGATGAGCAACTGAGTAGGAGAAAATGCAAGAAGGGCCTGTATATAGTATACAAATAAGCCCCTTTCTCTGATAATAAAATGTCATCGAATCAGTCACTATGTCAAACTTTTTATGTATAAGACACTGTGTTACACTTAACTGTCCAGGGTAGGGATGTAGATCATTCTGTTCCTTCACCCAAGCTAAGTATGTATGTGTGTGGGTGGAAGTGGGGGAATACAGGACATGTACCTAGGGAAAGAACCCCCACGTATCACAAAGCAATTGTAGTGCCGAAGTACATTTGACTGTTCAGGAAAGGAAGGGAAGGCCAGTGAGGACTAGGAGAGGTGGAATTTAAGGCTGCAGAGGATTTGGATGGGTTATGGAAGTGGCTAGGTAGACAGTCCAAGGGGTGGTGCTGCTATGTAATGTACAGGTCCTGTAGATAACTGTTCTGGACTCCCAACTCTCATTAAAAACACCTTGGAATCTGAAAGAGGTCTGAGACATTAGGTATACAAAAGAAAAATTTCCAAGAAATGAAAAAGGGAGTTTGGTGGGTGATGACAGGGTTAGCAGTAGAATAAGAGAACCAGGGAAGTGGAAGTAGTACCAAAGCATAGGACATGGAACTATTAGCCAAACTCTTTAGAAGTTTTTGTTTTGAGTTTTCCCCTCAGTTTTAGGGGAAAACTTAAGGGACCCACTTAGGTCTCTGCTGCCATAATTTTGTTTGGCTCTTACCACTGCATTAGGGAGGTTGGCATGCTGTAGGGGAAAGGGCAAAGGCTTTGTAGGCCAAACAGGTCTTCATCACTTACTAGCTGTGTGGCTTTGGGCAAGTGAATTAGCCTTGCTTGGATTCTGTTTGCTCATTGCTAAAACAGGAGCAAACTACTTCACTGGATTGTTCTGAGGAGTAATGAGATGATTAATGTGTGTTAAATGTCTGACATTGTAGCTGAACATATTAGTGGTCCAATGAATGGTAAGCCCCTTCCCTATTACCTTCTAGGGTTATAATCATTTATTTGATATTTTGTCTACATTTGTCTAAATGAGGGAAAGAGTCCGCTTTTAGCAGCCTCAATGAGAGAGGCTCCTAAGGGAAAGCTGAAAACACAGAGGAAAAGCATTAGGTTCTGCTTAGACCACTCCTCACACCTCACCTGGAGATTCTACCTCTCAGCACCCCAACCCTCCTCTAAACCCTCTTCAACCTCCTCCCAATCTCCCCCAAACCCTCTTCTCAATCTTACCTCTACCTTTCCCCTAATCCCTCCATACCTCACTTACTTTCAGCCCTAACCATTCCCTACTCTCACTTTCAGCCCTAACCATTCCCTACTCTCTCCATCTTACCCTCTACATCATTTCTCCATCATCTGCAGACCTATCACTACACCCGGAATGTTTAGGAGCCTCCCTAAACATTGAACATTTTCTAATTCCCTCTCTCCCTCCCAATTTACTGGTTCATTATCTCTTCCTCTAGCTAAGCCAAGAAATAACTCAAACACAAGTAGAAATTGCTAATATTTATTGATTCTTTTAAGAAATATCACTTACAAACTTATTTTCTTTATGTAAAAGATGTTGCCATTTTTGTGATATAGAAAATATTGATAAGAAAAAAATCAAGTCAGTTTAACAGCTATGCTTTTTCATTATTAGTTTCTAATATCTATTCTCATGTGTATTGTTAGTATAATTGTAATTAAAACAGTTCCGCAGGATGCAGAGTTCTGAGATAGAGGCATGCAGAGTTAGTGAAAAAAAAAAAAGCAGCTCAAAGTCATCAGGTTCAGTCTATCATCTAAGAGGCAGAGTCGTTGTACAGGTAGCCTTAGTACATAGCAAGATGTTCAGTAGAAGATTCAGGGAGCAGCAAATGCTGATGACAGCTGAGGTAACAGAAGACAGGTTGCCAGGAACAGTCACTAGGACACAGGATCTACCCAGAAATTATTTCATCACGATTTCTTCTATTCCACCTGTGCCTGAAGCAATTGTAGTGACAATAACGTGATAGAAAGGACACAGTGCGGGTACTCCATTCTATGTTTGGGTCATGTGTCTCAAGCCAATGGATTCCAATAATCAGAGGGTATCGTGGTGCATGAATAATGTCAAACTGGAGCTCTTCAACATGGTTTCCAATTTGAACTTGGACAGGTGATGTTTCCTTAGTTATGGGTCCATTAATAAGTGGATGGCCGTCGACAGTTTCCAGCATCAGAGGGAAGATATTACTGCGGATGGGCAGCTTCTCTCGAAGAACCACAGTATGATCAATGCTGTTTCTGTAGGAGCCTGAATCTACCATTGCTTGCTCAAAGAATTATCTTCTTCCCAGTTGGATTTCAACAGTAAGCCATAGTGTATGAGACATGGATATTGGAAGAGAGGGGGACGCATATTTGTAGATTGGCCCACGTGGGGTCCCCCTTACTGGCAGGCCTGGATGTTTCCCGCCTGCAGGGCCTGATGAGGCTTGACAGGGCAATCTCTGGCAAAATGACCAGGATAACCACAGTAGAGGCATAAGCGGCCTTTGTGCCAACGGACCCATTCAGCTTCACTGATGTGTGGGCAGTTGATTGCAGCCTGCATAGGTTGGTTTTCAGCTGGTGGACTCTCGGGTCCATCTCCCTCTGCAGAGGAACTTTTCCCTAATGGATTGGGATCAGGCTTCTCTTCCAGGCTGATGCACTGAGTGATGAGATCAGATAGGTTGGTGGCTGGGCTTGTGTGAGACAGTTCATCTTGTATAGAACTGGCAAGACCTTCTTGAAATTGGATCCAGAGAGTGCTTTCATCCCAGTTCAGCTCTTGAGCAATGAGGTGGAAGTGGGTTGCTACATGACCCTCCCCTTGGCAGAGTTGATGGATGCACTGGTTGGCATCTTTCATGTTTTCTGGATTATCAAAAGTATCCTGGAGCACAGGTATGAAACTTTCACATTGCTCCAGTAAGGGGCTTTGGATATCCAGTAAGAGCTGGAACCACCATCCTGCCCTACCTGAGAAGCAATTGCCAACAAAGCTCACCAGGGCTGCTTCAGTGGGATACAGGTGCCCTCTGACTCTCATGTAACTATACAGCTGAACCAGGAACTCAGGAAGCTTCTGGGAATCTCCACTGAAGGTTAAAGTGTATTGCAGGGGGAAATCTGTAGCCTCTAACCCAATAGGGGCCTGTGGAAACTCTGAAGCTGCTGATGTCTCCACAACTATTAGACCCTCCAGGGACTCCTGGGCTGCTGAGAGTTCTAGGAATTCCTGGGCATTTGAAGGCTCCAGAGGCTCCTGGGGAGGTGGAAGCTCAAGGAACTCTAGCTGTGCTGCAGTTTCCTGGTATTCTGGTGCCTCCTGGGGCTTCTCAATATTTGGGGGATCCTGGGGTTCTGAATTCTTGGGCTCTTGGGCTATTGTGGCATCCTGGGTGTTTGCAGGCCCCTGGCCCTCCAAGACTGTTGGGATCTCATGGGCCATTGGAGGTTTCTGGGACTCCCGGGTTGCTGGAGGCGCCAGGGACTCTGGGGCTGCTGGGGCCTCCTGGAGTTCCCAGGCTGCTGGGGGTTCCCAGGGTAGAAGATCCTGTGGCTCTGGTGGCTTCTGGGGTTCCTTGAACTCTGGGGTCTTTTGGGCCTCCCAGGCTGCTGGGGGATTCATGTGCTCTGGGAGCTTCTGGGGCTCCTTGGCCTCTGAGGACTTTCGGAGTAGATCATACTCCTTGGCTGCTTGGGACTTCTGAAGCTCTGGGATCTGGGCCTGGAGAGCAGCATTTTCTTCCATCAGCCACTGCACTTGAGCCTGCCGAATTTCATTCTCCAATTTCAGAACAATATAGGAGGCTGCTAAGTCCTCCACCATCTTTTGAGGAAATGGGTATGATTTGACAATTTGCTACCAAGAGAGATTGGGTGGGTGTTTGTGAGATCCTTCCTGAAAGCTGCTTACAGGCAGATGTCAGGCTCAGTGAGTTTTCCAAGGGGTGGTATTTGGGCCCCGCCAAGGCTGATTATCAAGAGGTCACTGGGAGCCTCCGGAGCTCGGCAAGAAGGAGCCTCCGGAGCTCAGTAAGGGGAAGTGTCAGATACACTGCGAAGAGAGTGGGAGCTGAGGATCAGAAACTGTGGAAAGCACACATTCAACATAAAACAAAATCTGCCCAACAATGCTGGGTTTCTTTTACCATAGGCTTATGTTCATGAGCTGGGGTATATATGCTGGATCTGACTCCACGACATTTTAAGAACAGCATCTGTCCCAAACTGCACATGTCATTTTGCATTTATCCTTTGAAACTTAACATTATATCAAAAGCAACTTTTTAATATTATTTTCTGTTTTATATAGTCTTTAATCTTGAATATCTGCCTAATATCCCAATGTAACATTTGGATTTTAACAGCTGCTTTCAGTGACTAAATCAAATGTTTGAGCAATGTGGGAATTTTAGGCTCTGCGGTGGGCCAGCCCAAGAGATATTTTTGGGTGACTAGGGTGGTAGGAAGTAGGAGGGAGCTCTTTCTGACACCTCAGAAATCATACCACATAAGTAACCACACAAGACCAGCCTCAGGAGAAAACAAGCAAAAGTCGACTAAATATATATATATATATATATATATGCCCTCAGAAGACACATGCATATTATTTATAAAATACCTCAAAATAGTTAAGAAAATAATCTTTATAAATGTACGTTACCATTCAGAGACTTAGTCCAGGAGCTTGGCTGTCTGTGTACCCATTGCTGAGGAGGGAAATGTGTAAATGGCTGTGGAGGCTTGCCTTTTCTGCACACACTGAACTCAAGCAAACACACCCACTCCCAGAACACATTCCAACTTTCCTCTGTAACATAGCTTTTTAAAGTGTGGAAGAGTTTTTTGACAGTACCTCACAGTTCAGAGCTGCAAGGAAAGTAGGATGCTGTGCTGATGTGAAGCAGCTTCATGTACTCAGTCCTTGGTTACTTTAATGAATATTTGGCCAGGAAATTGTGAGTAATACCACTGCCCTTGTGAAAAGTTGCAAACATTTTTGAATGACCACAGTGGTTTGGGATGTGATTTTTTATGTCTGTCTCATCTAACCTATTCTTACTCTGTCCAAATTGGGCCATTTGTTTACTTCTCACTCAGGGAACAGCCTGCAAACCCTCAGCCCCTTCCCTTGCTTACTACCTATTCAGTCCCTAGGGTTTTTCCTTGCAATGTTTTCTTGGAAAATTTGCCACAGACAGATCTAGAAAAGGTATAAAAGGGTACAAATGTCAGGGAGACCAATTGTGTTGGTGGGTACTTATAGCAGTCTTACAGAGTCCCTGGCTCTTTCTGAATGTCCTGGACCAAAGATCTCATGCTTCCCTGAACTGATCAGGTGCTCCAGGTAGCACTCAGGACATTCACTAAAGACTGGCCTCTTGGGAAGTAACCCTGCTCAGAATCTCACTTTCTCTTCTCATGCCAGATCACAGTTATGCCTTGGGTATGGGCTATGTGGCCATTTTAGGCAAGGCTTAGGGGCAACTATTTTTATCCAAGTAAGGAGTGGGGTTGAGGTTTGCATTTGGCCATTTCAAATCACACATCATGTCAACCACAGTCCCATGTCTCCTTCACAAATGGTCAGTTCTGCATTAGTCAGCATAATGGGATAAACCCTAGTGATGGAATAGGCCCAAAACATAGCAAATTGACAGACTGGGCTACCTGAATCCGAATGCAGAAGCTTTGAAAGTAAAAACAAAATCTTTTGCAAATCGAGTTTATTCTTTCCTTACCTTTCAAAGTTTTATTTTTCTAGAAACACCACACATATAAAAATACCACCATCATCAGGGATGATGTGATCTATTTATGTGAAGTTTTCAGATAACTGAAGCCTTCCTGCCCTCCAAGAAGCCAAAACACACAGTTAACATTTATTTTATCCAGAAAGAAAAGAGAACTTCCAACACCTGAATTTGTAACGGGCTTAGTTAGGGAACAACTATTAATTGAAACTCTTTCCTAATGTTTAGCAATTTCTGTAACAATGAGTTTGAAGGTTCAATACTGGACATCAAGTTGAAATTTAATAAAGAGTATTTCAATTTAAAAAAATCAGAGAAATATTTATAGCATATGTTATACCTCTTTGTCCATTCTTAAGAAATGATTTTGCATATAATTTAATCCAGTTTTAATGGTTTGGATTCATACTTACACAAACCAGCTAGTTTACCCTGTTGTAACACAGTGTTGCCCTCTGAAAGCTACTGAGAGGTATAAAGTGGTCTGTCTTCAAATTAAAAACTTCCAAATTGCTATGTTTTGCGACTTCTTGTATTTTCTTTTCCTTTATATTTTTATACTCTTTTGCAATCAAGTTGTAACATAGCCCTTCATGTTATACCTATATGCCTGTCTATACTTACCCTATACAAATTTGGCAAATTACTTCATCCTTCTGATAGTTAGAATCTAAACTTTAGTTTATGAAACTGTAAAATGAAGTTATTAATATTATTTGACTTTATAGGGTTGTCAAAAATTCAGTGAAATAATGTGTGAAAAAAGGATTAGCACAGTGTCTGGCAGCTAATAACACCCAATAAAGGTTAATAATAATAATAATAATAATAATAATAAGCTGTAGCAGCAGTAATCTCATTTTAATTTATTCTTTTTAATCACCTGTGAATTGGGAAACTGAATAGGTAAACATGCTAGAGTTGTGTAGAGGCTGAGAAAGGGGTCTCATACCGAGAAATCTACAGTGCATCGATTTTACAGCATTGGTTTTTCACCACTTGGGAACTTTTATCTATTCTTCCTTGCTGGGATATAGATGGTTTAGTTTCCAGATAGTACTCTAGAATCAGGACTGGAGGCACCTGAGCAGGAAGATTAGAAGATTAAAACTGGAATTGTGAAGCAGCCAAGATAGATGTTTAAAAAGTTCATGGACTAAAGCACTGAAAAGTGTCTTGCCTACAGGAATATTTATTCAGTGTATAAACACAGAAACCTTTCCTTCCCCAGCCCCCTACACTAAACAGCAAAGACCGAATTCACCGTCCTTAAGTACAAGTTCAAACTGCCTAAACATAGAGAATTATTCTTTTCTGGGTGGAAAAGGCAGCTACACAGACTTTTGTCAAAACGCCTAAAGTGGTTTCAGCATCCTGAATTAGTTAAGTGAGAACAGGAAAGTAAGAATAAGAAAGTAATCACATCCAAATTTTCATCATGTTTCCCCTACACTGTAATTCTTCTTCATACATTTACAATATGATGGAATGTATGGATCCTTTAGAACGGTCATGAAAATATTTTAAGTAAATGAGATTTTGTTAACTATGCAAATGAATATTTCAGGGAGAAAAGAGACAAATATGCTCATTTAACAGATATAAAAAGACTACACACTAATAAGAAATATTCAGGCTCAGTTATGTTAATAAGCTACATATGCTGATTGTTAGCTTAGGGAGAAAAGGAAAGAAAAGGTTGAATGCAATGCAGTTCTACTTTGTACATTCCACTGGCTCATAATTTTCTTTCGTCGGCAAATATACAAACTAAATGTTTTAGGTCTCTCCCAGGGTCTTCCTCCCCTAAGCTGGCTGGGCTGCATCTTTAAGCAACTCCAGCTTCTGTCCCTCCCTTTTCCCACTCTGAAAAACAGTCAATGGGACAGTTTACCCTACAGGTCTCTGGCGCAAGGCCCAGTCACCCCTTGGGGGCAGTCCCATCCTGGTGTGTGTTTTATTTAACATATTATTCCTATGGTTACATTATAGCTTGCAACACTTTCTTAAATTTAACCTATAATGTGATTAGTACAGAATGAAACTTTTCATTGTCAACAACACCCCATAATATAGCACTGGGGCAACAGGAGTTCCCAATTTCTCTGGAAGTTAGAAGGCTGACCAAAAATTCTCTTTACTCATAAGGCCAGGACCCAGAGGACCTAGTAATGGTATGGAAACAGAGTCTATCCCACACAGGAGTCAAAATTTGTCACTCATCTCCCTTTACGAAATTTACAACCTTCTCACTTTATTTCTTATCCCATACTTAGGAGGCTTTTCCGCTTGATCAGCTGTCACACTGGGAAAGTAAGGCCCTACTGAAATACTAACTCGTAAGACTTTAAAAAATCTTTCTTGGGGGTGTGTGCATTTTCATAGGATATTTTGAAAGACTGCAATCCATTCAAGACTCTTCTGTTAGGAGAGATACCCTTGGTCAGAGATATCATTTTGGTGTCCTTCAGATTACACCTTGTCAGTGGCCTTATATTTGATTTCCTTATAAAGTTGACCCAATATGGCCCCTAGTATTAGCAGCAGATATGCTTAATGATTTTAATGCTCTGATTTCACTAAATCCTTGTGAAGGCACCAGGGTGCCTTAGTTTCCTCACCAGGGCTGAGGAAACTGCCATCACAGCCTAACCACGGAATGCGGGACTTTGCTATAACCCCACTTCTGGGGATGCACTTATTGTAGAGATCTGTCCTTCTCCTCTACTTCCTGGACCTCTTACTCTCTGAGGCCTACCAATGCTGGCTCACCCAGAAGTCAGACTAAGTTTAAGCTGATGGTACCAGCAAAGCAGGAGAGATGGGGAAAGACAAGATGGAGGGAGAAGCGGGGAGATGAGGGGCTACAGATGGAGAGAAGGAGAAAGGGAGAGAGAGAAAAAAAGAGGGAGGGATATGGGGAGAAAGAGAGGGTAGGGGAGAAGGCGAGGAGAAGGAAAGATAATATCAGGAAATCTAGAAAGGAGCTTAAAACCTCAGCATAGGTACATTTTGGTCAGTGAAAGATAAAATTTAATTTTATAGTTTAGCATTTTAAAAATTAGATAAAATAATGAAGCATTATCTTTTAAGTGTTTAAGCTTACCTCTACAGGTCTTAATTAGTCCATAGTGGGTGATATGGTCTTTAAAGGTTTGCAGACTGCTGAAGGAGTGATGGTAGAGCCTCAGTGGGACTGAAGAGGACAGTAAGAGTGTAGAAGTGGAAGATGTAGGAGTGACTGTGGTGCTGAGGAGAAAGAATACCAAAATTGGCCATTTTTCTGTGTGCTACAAATAAGATATCAGTTGTTAAAGTGCTTTAAAAATGTGCTAATGGAAAGAACTCAAGCTTTGAAGTAAGGCAGGACTAGTTTCAATTCCCACCTCTGCTGTTTGCTAGTTGTATCTAGTTGTATGGTCTTGTCCAAGTTGCTTAAATTCTCTGAAACTCATTTTCCTCACTTGGAAAATAGGAGATAACAATGGGTAATTACTGAGTTGCTGCGAGGATTAGAAATAATGTTAGTATTTAATAATAGGCATTTTCTGAGTTGTAGCTTATGATAAAAATCATATTGACAGTGGAAAGAATTGTCATTGATTTTCATGTCAGCTTATCTAGTGCATTCAAGCAAAATTCTTCTCAATTTTTTCCATATAAACTCAACATAATATGATTGCTCCAATATGTAGATGCTCCTCATCTTATGACTTACAATAGGGTTATGTCCTGGTAAAGCCATTGTAAGTTGAAAATATCATAAGTTGAAAATGCATTTAACATACCTAATCTACGGAACATCATAACTTTGCCTAGCCTATCTCAAATGTGCTCATAATACTTACATTAGTCTACAGTTGGGCAAAATCATCTAATACAAAGCCTGTTTTATAACAAAGTGTTGAATATCTCATGTAATTTATTGAATATTGCACTGAAAGTGAAAAGCAGAATGATTGTGTGAGTATAGGAAGTACGGTTTCTACTGAATGCATATTGCTTTTGTATCATTGTAAAGTCAAAAAATCGTGTGTTGAACCATCATGAATCAGGGACTATCTGTATTTTGCTTTCCATAATGTCAATCTACATTTCTTCTTTCTCACCTTCTTTCTTCAAATATTTATTGAGTATTCAGGTGGTTAAAGTCACTGTGCTGTGGTTGTCTATATGCACGTGTGGGTGTATGTATGTGTGAGGGGGTGTGATGTATGTGTTTGTGATGCATATGCTGAGTGAGGAATACAAAGATGAATGCTCTTGGAGCTTTTTCTCAAGGAGTTTACAGGCCAGTGGAACAGGAAAAATATGTACTTTCCTATTAATATGCAGAAATCTCTCAGTGCTAAATGTTATGTGAGAGATAAAGATAAAGTCCTCCAAAGGTAGAAAACTTGTGGATGTGGTGGGGTGTGGTAGAGAGGAGTGAGGGGTGAAATTTTGGAAAGCTTAATAGAAGAGGTGGCTTTTGAGTTGAGCTTTTGAATTTGAATTTGAGAGAAGGGTAAGATTTGATCATCCCAGTATGAGGGTGAATTTAGAATGGATGAAGAAAAAAAAGCAACTCTGCTGCTGTAAAGATACCTGAAAATGTGGAAGCGACTTTGGAACTGTGTAACAGGCAGAGGTTGGAATAGTTTAGAAGGCTCAGAAGAAGATAGGAAAATGTAGGAATGTTTGGAATTTCCTAGAGACTTGGAGGGCTCAGAAGACAGGAAGATTTGGGAAAGTTTGGAACTTCCTAGAGACTTGCTGAATGGCTTTGACCAAAATGCTGACAGTGATATGGACACTAAAGTCCAGGCTGTGGTGGTCTTAGATGGAGATGAGGAACTTTTTGGGAACTAAAGGTGACGCTTGTTATGTTTTAGAAAACAAACTGGTGGAATTTTGCCCCTGCCCTAGAGATCTGTGAAACTTTGAACTTGAGAGAGAGAATTTAGGGTGTCTGGTAGAAGAAATTTCTAAGCGGCAAAGCATTCAAGAGGAAGTAGAGCATAAAAGTTTGGAAAATTTGCAGCCTGGTGATGCAATAGAAAAGAAAAACCAATTTTTCTGGGAAGAAATTCAAGCCTGCTGCATAAATTTGCATAAGTAACAAGGAGCTGAATGTTAATCACCAAGACAATAGGGAAAATATCTCCAGGACATGTTAGAGGCCTTTGCTAAAGGCCCTCCTATCACAGGCCTCAAGGCCTAGAAGGAAAACATGGTTTTGTGGGCTGGGCCAGGGCCCCTCTGTTGTATGCAGCCTAAGGATCTGGTGTCCTGCTTCCCAGCTTCTCTAGCCCTGGCTAAAAGGGACCAAGGTACAGCTCAGGCTGTGGCTTTGGAGGGTGCAAGCCCTGATCTTGGCAGCTTCCACATGGTGTTGAGCCTGTGGATACACAGAAGTCAAGAATAGAGGTTTGGGAACCTCTGCTTAGATTTCAGAAGATGTGTAGAAACATGTGAATGTCCAGGCAAAAGTTTGCTGTAGGGGCAGAGACTTCATGAAGAACCTCTGCTAAGGCAATGTGGAAAGGAAATAAGAGGTGGGAGCCCCCACACAGAGTCTCCACTGGGGGACTGCCTAGTGGAGCTGGGAGAAGAGGGCCACCATCCCTCAGACCACACAATGGTAGATCCACCAACAGTTTTCATGGTACACCTGGAAAAGCCACAGACCCTCAACACCAAGCCATGAAAGCAACCAGGAGGGGAGCTGTGCCATGCAAAGTCACAGGGGTGGAGCTACCCAAGGCTGTGGGAGCCCACCTCTTGCATCAATGTGCCCTGGATTTGAAACATGGAGTCAAAGGAGATCATTTTGGAACTTTATGGTTTCATGACTGCCTTATTGGATTTCAGACTTGTATGGGGCCTCTAGCCCCTTTGTTTTGGCCAATTTCTCCCATTTGGAGTGGGTGTATCTACCCGATGCCTGTACCCCCACTGTATCTAGAAAGTAACTAACTTGGCTTTGATTTTATGGGCTCGCAGGTGGAAGGAACTTGCCTTCTCTCAGATGAGACTTTGGACTATGGACTTTTGAGTTAATACTGAAATGATTAAAGACTTTGGGGGACTGTTAGGAACTCATGATTGGTTTTGAAATGTAAGGACATGATATTTGAGAGGGGCTGGGGTGGAATGATGCAGTTTGGCTGTCTCCCCACCCAAATCTTATTTTGAATTATAGCTCCCATAACTCCCCCATGTCGTGGGATGGACCTGGGCAGAGATAATTGAATCATGGGGGTGAGTCTTTCCAGTGCTGTTCTCATGATAGTGAATAAGTCTCATGAGATCTGATGGTTTTATAGTGGGGAGTTCCCCTGCACAAGTTCTCTCTTCTCTGCCACCATGTAAGATGTGACTTTGCTCCTTCTTGCTTTCTGCCATGATTGTGAGGCCTCCCCAGCCATGTGGAACTGTGAGTCAATTAAACCTCTTTTCTTTATAAATTATCCAGTCTCTGGAATGTCTTTATTAGCAGCATCAGAACAGACTAATACAATCTCCAATGAAAGAAATCATGAGAACAAAAGCAAAGAGATTAGGAACTTCAGCTTGTGAATGGGGGAAGCAACAGTTCAGTTTGGATAAAACCTAGGGTACGTGAAGGAAATGTGTAAGTTCATAGACATAAAATGTAATACAGAGCTACTCAAAGAGAAAGTTGAGTTTTAGCAGAAAGATGACAATAAAAAGCAAATATTTTATATGTTCATGGTCAAGAAATATGTGATTCTGGCAATTTCTAACTGCTCTAAATATTTTATTAATTTACTAAGATCCTAGCATCCATTAATACTCCCTCACACCCAGGAACACCTGGTAGATTTTTAATATGATCTATCAGGTGATCTTCTCTTTTAATGTTTCCTAGAGCTTTTGAATGTATGTTTTCTTAACACTGTAATCCTGGCTGTGATTTCCCTCATGTTCAGAATGATTAAATTTTCCTTCACCTTTGAGTCAGGTATTAAACAGGCATAGATGTCCCATGCTAACCCCAGCATGGACCTCTTGGTTTAGCTCTTTTATCTCAATCTCTTCCTGTAGAATATTTACATAACCAAATTCCATTTCCCCCTTTCCTTCCACTCCATTTCTGAATTATTTTGTTCTTGTCACTACCCTGTTTGATTTTTTAGCAGAACTGGATTATCTAAAACTGCATTCTTTGTGTGTACCCCTGACAGAAAGAGAGGCCCCTTCTTAGTTTCTGATTATTTCTTGGCTGAAAGACTGAAGCAGAAAATATCATTAGTGAGGAGTCACATCAGATTCCTGGGACATTTGTATGTTCTTTATGGGTGCCAGCAGAGCTGACTCTATCAGCATGTGCAAAAGGGAAGGATTACACTGATGAATTATTTGTCAAAAAGTGAAAAGGCATTTTGGTTTTCTAAATTTTTAGAGAGAACTTAGTGATTTCTTTTTTCCAGTTCTCTTTAAGCAGGCTAGGCAGTACTCATGGGCACTTTTTGCTTTCAGCATTTGTATAACCCATTTATAATGCAATGCAGTCACTGTGCTACATCAGGGCCACAGCAGTAGACAACAGTATAAAAAATAAAGATTGTGATTTTAAAAGAACTACTTAGAGACTTTTCTGGCAAGTTTCACCAGAAACTGTTAATCATGGTGACTCTGGGTAGTGGAGATTGAAGAGACTTTTACTTTTTATTTACATTTTTCTGCAGCAGTTGAATTATTTTAAAAATACGAGTACACATTTCTTTTATGGAAAATAGGAGCCTTAGTACCTGGCTGTGGCCTCATGTGCAGGTTTATTTATTTGGTATTCAAAACCCTCTAGAATGCAGCCCTATCTTCCCTTTCTGGCAATGCTTCCTTTCACTTTTACCTATACACTACTAGTCTTGTTAGTCTCTACATTGTGCCACCCACATGGCGCTTTCACCCTACCTTTTTTACATGGCTATGCCCTCTGACTGGCTTTCGACCTTTAGAAATTTGATCCTTTTTTCTAGGCCTACCACAGAAGCTGCCTCTTCCAAGCAACCTTTTGAGAGATTTTTAGCCCACCACTCACCCTCTATCTATTCTGTGCTAATGTTGCAAATGCAGCCACATTGAATGTAGTTCTCAGTTAGTACCTAATTATTTCCTGTATTAGTATTTTCTGACTAGTTACAGGAGCCAAATTCTTGTTCTGCCACAGCCTAGCTGTGTGATTCTGGGCATGTAGCAATCTCTCTGGGTGTGTTTCCTCATCTAGAAAATGAGGGATGTTGGGAGATCTCCTAAGTGCTTTCTATTTCTAACAAACTAGGATTTTCATATTTGTGAAAGAGACTTTAAAAATTCCAAAGCACTATACAATAAAAATTTGTATTAGAATTATACTGTTTGTATTTCCTGCAGCTCTTACGTTACCAAGTAAAATACCTGTATCTCTGACAAACTGTTTGTACAAAATGTCTTAAGATTTAATAAAAATTCTTTTTGGCTTGAACTAAAGTCCAACTTTCCACAAAAGAAAGTATATTTTTCACATATTAGAGACACAGATTTGAACATGTTTCTTCTATTGTCAGTTTTGCATTTCATTTTTGAGCTGACAATCACTTGAACATATTTTGATTAATGTAGAATTTGCATTAACGAACCATTTAAATGCCCTTTTTACATCAAGCCTGACAATTTAGAAATGTCCTAGTATCATATATTGGCAATCTTTCCTGAAGAAATTAACTCCTCAGAAATGACAAATAATATTACTGTCCCCATGCATTATCTATGGGAATAACAACATTATCATCATCAACAACAAAGCTAACACTTCCATAGCACTTACTTTGCACTAGGTACTATCCTAAGCTCTTTACATATATTAATTCATTCAGTTCTCTCAACAACACTGTAAGGTAAGCATTTCCCCTTCCATTTCATGGATGAAAAAAACCGAGGCCCAGAAAGGCTAAATAATGTGCCAAGAGGTCACATAGCTGGTAAATTGCAGTGATGGGACTTCATCTCAGGAAATCTGTCTTCATATTCTCTGTTCTAAGCTATTAAGCTAAGCCGCTTTCAACTCTGCTCTCAAATTTCTGTGTGACCATGGATAAGCCCCTTTCTTTCTGAGTCTTATATGCGTCTCTAAAAGTGGAGAGATTAAATTAGTCAGAGATTGCAAACTGATCACCCATGGGCTCGATGTAGCCTGCAGATATGTTTTGATCTGTCTGTACTTATCTTAAAGTTGATTAAAAATCAGGGGATTCCACAAAACAATCCATACTCCCAATTTCTCTTGAAAAGCTGGGAAATCTGGCCATACTATGCCCATGTTCCCACATAGCAAGAGCCAACAAGAACTTAGTATATACTGGTTGCTTCCTTTAGCTGGGGAACAACTCTAGTTTTCTATGGTTCTACCACTCCCTAGTTGCATTAAAACTACCTGCTTTACTCTTTTGCTTTCTCTACCTGGTTCCTTGTATACATTTGAGCCGGAGCTCTAATATCCCTGATATATAACTTTTACAGTCTCTTTTAGCTTGAAAATTTAATGTTTCCATGTGTAGTAAAAACTTACTGTAGTTGCTACTGATACACATAACTGCATAGATGACCCTTTAAGACATAATGTCAAATGAAAGCAGCCAGAAACAAAAGAGTAAATGTTATCATTATTTGAAGTTCAAGAACAGTCAAAGCCTGACAAAACAAGCAATGGGGAAAGGACTCTGTATTTAATAAATGGTGCTGGGATAACTGGCTAGCAATATGCAGAAGACTGAAGTCAGACCCTTATATTCAGCATATACAAAAATTAACTCAAAATAGATCAAATATTTAAATGTATGACCTCCAACTATAAAAATCCTAGAAGACAATCTAGTAAATACTCTTCTTGACATTGGCCTTGGCAAATAATTTTTGGCTAAGTAATGAAAAGCAATTGCAACAAAAACAAAAATAGACAAGCAGAACCTAATTAAACTAAAGAGCTTCTTCAAAGCAAGTAAATTATCAACAGAATAAACAGAGAACCTAGAGAATTGGAGAAAATATTCACAAACTATGCATCTGACAAAGGCATATCTGGAATCTATAGGGAACTTAAGCAAATCAACCAGCACAAAACAAATAACCCCATTAAAAACAGGCAAAGGACATGAACACACACTTCTCAAAAGAAGACATACAAGTTACCTACACACATATGAAAAAATGCTCAGCATCACTGACCATCAGGGAAATGTAAATAAAAACCACAATGAGATACCATCTCACACCTGGCAGAATGGCTATTATGAAAAAGTCAAAAAGCAACAGATGCTAGCGAGACTATGGAGAAAAGGAAATACTTATATACAATTGATGAGAATGTAAATTAGTCTAGCCACTGTGGATAACAGTTTGGCAATTTCTCAAATACTTAAAACAGAGCTACAATTTGACCTAGCAATTTCATTACTGGGTGTACCCAAAGGAAAATAGATCATTATACCAAAAAGACACATGGACTTGTATGTTCATTGCTGTGCTATTCACAATAGCAGAGACATGTAACCAACCCCGTGCCCATCAATGGTAGATTGGATAAGGAAAATGTTGTTCATATACACCATGGAATACTATGCAGCCATAAAAAGAATGGAATTCTGTCCTTTGTGACAACATGGATGGAGCTAGCTGGAGGCCATAATCCTAAGTGAATTAAGGCAGTAGCAGAAAACCAAATACCCCATGTTCTCACTTATAAGTAGGAGTTAAACATTGAGCACACATGAACATAGAAATAGGAACAGTACACACTGTAGACTAATAGAGGGTAGAGGGAAAGAAAGGCGGGAGGTGTGGGTTGAAAAACTACCTGTTGGGTATATGATCACTATTTTGGTGATGGGATCCATACTCCAAACTTCAACATCATGTATTACTTCGATGGAACAAAACAGCACATGCATAAAATAAAATAAAAGCTGAAATTGGAAAAAAAAAAAAAGAACAGGAAGATCCACTCAATAGTGCTGCAAGTCAGAAGAGTAGTTACCTCTGGGGATGAGGGAGTATTGACTGAGGAATGAGCAGAAGAAACTTTTCTCAGTGTGGGTGATGGAAATAATCTATATGTTGATCTGAGTGGCAGTCACATAGGTATACACATATCTTAAAAGTCACTGAAGATTTGTGCATTGTACTGTATGTGAATTGCACATTGCATTTTGAGCAAGATGCTTAAAAAGCAATGGTGTCCAGGGGTTTCCAAATGCTAGTCCTCAAAGGGTGGCATCAGAATAATCTGAGATATTTTCTTTTTTTAATTTTTTTATTATACTTTAAGTTCTAGGGTTCAAGTGCACAACATGCAGCTTTTTTACTTATGTATACATGTGCCATGTTGGTGTGCTGCACCCATTAACTCATCATTTACATTAGGTATATGAGATATTTTCTTAAAAGCAAATTCCCAGGACCAAGGTAAGACATACTAATTCAAAATCTCTGTAGGTAGGGCCTTGAGATTGTATGTATTTTAACAAGTTGGCTGGTCTAGCTGACTCAAAGACACTTGTCAGGACCCTCTTGAATACCTTTGGAGAAGTGTAAGCAAACGTCTTATTTGCTCCTCAGAACAACACATGAGATAGGTGTCATTATTTCTATTATACATGGAAGTGAAATGAGGCTTGGGACAATCAAGGAACTTAACCTCAGTGATAAAACTAGCAAAAGATGGATACAGATTTAGAGACAGCCCCACTTAACTTCAAAGACCAGGTATTTCCATGACAATGCATTGCCTTCTAAAAACAGTCATTATGGGCAAAGTGTTATCCCTACTTGTTGATTAAAGATGTGTAGAGTCAGAGCCCTGAAACAGCATATCTTATATAACTTAGCAGAGTTTGCTTTTTAAGTATCTTGCTCAAAATGCAATGTGCAATTCACATAGGAGAGTTTGAACCCAAGTCTATTAATATATCCAGGACCTATTTCTCTGATGCCTTCAGTGCCCCTCACTTTGCCCCTGAAAAGAGTTGGTTTTTTACAACTGGAGTTCTGCTTGAGATCTGTTTGCAAAATATTTTAAAGCCCGACTGCACAAAATACGACAGTTTCTAAGGTTACAACATAGAATAGCTTTTTCACTGCATTTTGTACCTTGAAAAACCCTGTAATTAGAGAATGTTCATTAACGATGGAGTGAAAATGAATAATGTAATTTCAATATTTCCAAAATTCTAACATTTATGGAATAACTAAAACTTGTTTGATTCTAATTTTTTCAAAAATAAAATCAACTCTGGTGGTATATGTGTCTACTTTAGAAGGGATCTGTGGGTCTTCAGATGTCTATCCTGTCTCCTAAATTGTCACCTTCACCTCAGTTCCACTGTCTGAAATTTGCCATTTTATATTTAATATCTCTCTTTTACTAAGGAAATATATTCTTTTGCATTAAACATTGTCTCTGTCTGGGGTTGAATAGTGACCTCTTGAAATTTATGTCCACCTGGAGCCTCAGAATGTGACTTTACTTGGAATAGGGTCTTTGAAGATATAATTAGTTAAGATAAGGCCATACCGGATTAAGATGGGCCCTAAGTTCAAAGACTGGTATCCTTATAGGAAGATCATGTGAAGACAAAGAGACACACACAGAGAAGATGCCCATGTGAAGATGAAGGCAGAGATTAGAGTGATGCATTGACAAGCCAAGAAATTCCAGGAGCCATGAGAAGCTAGAAGAGGGAAAAAAATTCTTTCCTAGAGCTTTCAGAGGGAACATGGTCCTGCTGACACTTTGATTGTACTCTTTCAGCTTCCAGAACTTTGAGAGAATACATTTCTGTTTTTGAAGCTACATATTTTGTGGTAATTTGTTATGGCATCCCTAGGAAATTGATACAGCCTCTTACATCAAGTCCTTGAAGACAGGTGCCTGGATGGGGCATTCTATGAAGTCACTGGCACTTCAGTGGGAAAGCACTGGATTAACAGGTAGGAATCACTAGGAGGGATAAAAGGCCTTTGAACAGGAAACAAGGAAGGGGAGAGGAAAGATGATCACATTTTGCTTATTGCACAATTGAAGACCAGCCCTGTAGAGAGTAACCACCAAAGACTCTGTCAAATGCCTGGACCCAGGCCAGCTTTCTGTCCTATACCAATATGGAGTCAACAGTGAGCAACTGTTGCCCTGGCTAAGTGCTCAGGAACTAGGAGTTGAAAACAACTTGCACACCTTGGAGACAAGAGCCCTTGTCTTGTCTTGGCCAGTCTTTTCCCTCCTCTGAAATCATCACTTGTAAATGTCTTGTTCTCAGGGTGATTTACATGCTTACAAAGAGTTTGGCAGGCAGGACAATACTCTCTATGTGGCCCCTATTCCTCTATCTCAATCAGAATTGGAAAATTTACTATTATCTTTTTAAATTGCCATTTGTATTTGTTTGTTTGTCTTTGTGAACATTCATCTATCTGTTTTACTACCCATCCCCTGCTCCCCTCCATCGCATGTTTTAGCAATGCTTCTCTAGACTTGACTAGACTTGGTTTTGTTTTCTGCATCAAGTGATGTTTCATTTTGACCCAATACCCAGGGGAGTGGGGATGACCAGGGGTCTTAGGCTCTGCTTTACTTTTTTGCTGATTAGGCCAGAGCAGGGTGGCTGTTTCTAATTCATTTTACAGTTTGCTGTTGGTATAATTTATCTCCCTGAGAAAGTCCTCTCATTTGTTTGCATTTTCACATTTCAAGCACCTCTATCTTGTCTGAGCATCAGGGTAGGTGGGTGGCCATCACAGGTACAGACTTGTCACAAGTACAGATATATCTGATTGTATTATATCCAATTTTGTAGGTTGCAATTTTGCTACCCCTGTCTTCATAGTGGACCTTCACTAACCTGGAACATGGTTTCTAAGGTAGATATGTGAAAAATGAATGTAGAGACCTGTCACATAAGAGAGCTGTTGGTATGACATGAAAAGACTGGCAAAGATACCTTTTCTTATCTCTGCACCAAAGAAAACAAAAAGCTGCTTACTTAACAATTTTGTCTATGGTTGATATGACAGTAGCATTCAGCTGCGTGCTCAGGTATGCCTCAATTGTTTTGTTCTTAGTTCCACACAATGTCTATGAAACAATAATTTATAATGGTGATTGAAGAGCATTAACTAGCATATATTGCTTTCCTTGTCTACATTTTGGTTACTAAAGCCATGCTTTTCTGGAAGGAAGAATGAGAAATTTACTGGTTTAGGAGTCAAGAAACATGTTTTTTTGCTAACTGTGAATCTCCCACTATTAATTCAGCCTCCTGTAGTATCCTGTAATATGCTTTAAAGGGAATCACCAGTGTTAGTTTCTCTTTTCCAATTTGGTCTGACAAAGCCCAGGCCTGAAGTCTTTGGGGAAAGAAAAGTTTAATGGGCATAGTGCTGGTCTCTAAATCAAAAGATCTCCATTTCAGAGGAGCATGTGATTCACAGATCTTATTTTCTTTCTAACAATTTCACTATCAGACATTACACGAAATATTTATTTGTTTGAATTCATAGAATGTTACCTCATTAGACCAAAAAAAAAAAAAGCCTTACTCTCCACTGTGTCTTTAGTGCTTACAATGGTGCCTGGAACTTAGTAGGGGCTTAGTAAATATCTGTGTAAAGAGTGAATGAATGAGTGAACGACTTTGGGAAGCTGTAAGGGTTATCTAACCCACTCTCACACTAACATTCTCTCTAACATCCCTGACAAACACTCATCCAATCTAGACTCAAGTCTCTCCAGGAAAAGAGAACTTAACATTTACTCAGACAGCTCATTTTACTATTGCCAGAGAGTTCTTCCTTATGTTGACTTCAAGTCTGCCTTATGAAAATTTTCTCCTTAGTCTTTATCCTGCTCTTTCAGCCATACAAAATAAGTTCTAATTTTTCAGTACAAATCGCCCTTCAAATTTATACAAATTGCACTGATATTCTCCTTAAGTCTTCTTCGTCTTCAGGTGAAATAGCTTTTAACTGTTTCTCATGTGATAAGATTTAGACTACCCCTCATCATCCTGGCACTCTTCTGTGACCACCTATTTCTGTCCCAATACTACAGTCTGGCATGTGTGCAATGTATTACAGCTAGTGTCTCCTTGGTGGATGAAAATCCATACATACTTTGGAATGTGGGTGATATGTATATATTCTTTATCGGTTTGGCTGGAGAATCAGTGGGGTCATAGTTAATGCTATTGGTACTGACAATAAATCTTTATAATTAGACTTCTAAGTCAGTGCCTTAGCAAGATGAGCAGGCCAAATGCAAACTCCCCTTGGTATATTGTTTCATTATGGCAAGACAGACTCAAACATGTAACAATACCTTGGGTTCTATTTGGAACCTTTTAATTCAAAAAAAAACTGATTAAAAAACACTTTTCTCTTTCACCTTTTTTCTCTCCAGTGAAACACATATCCAAGAAAAGGTAGTCTGCAGGAAAACTGGAGGAAGACTTATGCTTAGAGTCCTTGCTCTGCAAACTTCTACAGGTAACATTAATTATTTGTGTGAGTGAATACAACCGCATTGCGTAAGTTCACTTTGGATATTTCTGGCTTTCTGAGAAAGACAGAGATAAAATATATTTTGGTCTGAGTCACAGATTAACTAGGCATCTAGTCGTAACTTAAAACCTAGGACAATAAAAAGAGACCCTCATCAAATTAAATAAAACATTTGAACTTACTAAAAGGAAGTATGTTTAGAAACTGATACAAATTCAAATTCTCTCTCTCAAATAAAGTACAGTGTTTGCTTCAAATTAAGATCATTTGCCAATTTGATTATTAGGGTCCCTCACAGCTCAAAAACTGATTCATTAAGTACGGTCTAAATATAACCAATATTTCATTATTTACTATAAAATTTTGATGAGTTTAGGTTAGAAATATATATGCTGCTCTATTCTTTTTTTAACTTTTATTTTAAGTTAAGGGGAGCAAGTGCAGGTTTGGAACATAGGTACATTTGCGTCAAGGGGGCTTGTTGTACAAATTATTTCATCATCCAGGTTTTAAGCCTTGTACCCATTAATCATTTTTCCTGAACCTCTCCCTCCTCCAAACCTCCATCCTCAGAAAGGCCCCAGTGTGTGTTGTTCTCCTTTATGCATCCATGTGTTCTCATCATTTAGCTCCTACTCATAAGTGAGAACATGTGGTATTTGGTTTTCTGTTCCTGTGTTAGTTTGATAAGGATAATGGTCTCCAGCTCCATCCATGTCCCTGCAAAAGACATGATCTCGTTCTTTTTTGTGGCTGCATAGTATTCCATAGTGTATATGTACCACATTTTCTTTATACAGTCTATCATCGTTGATGGACATTTAGGTTGATTCCATGTCATTGCTATTGTAAATCATGCTGTAATGAACATACATGTGCATGTGTCTTTACAGTGGAATGATTTATATTCCTTTGGTTACATACCCATACATGTGCATGTGTCTTTACAGTGGAATGATTTATATTCCTTTGGTTACATACCCAGTAATGGAATTGCTGATTCAAATGGTATTTCTGTCTTTTGGTCTTTTAAGAAATCACCACACTGTCTTCCACAATGGCTGAACTAGTTTACACTCCCACCAACAGTGTATAAGCATTCTTATACTTATAATCCTATTCACAATTGCCACAAAAAGAATAAAATACGTAGAAATACACCTAACCAGGGAGGTTAAAGGTCTCACAAGGAGAACTACAAACCACTGCTCAAAGAAATCAGAAATGACACAAACAAATTGAAACACATTCAATGCTCACAGATAGAAAGAATCAATATTGTTAAAATAGTCATACTACCCGAAGCAATTTATGGATTCAATGCTATTCCCATTAAACTACCATTGACATTCTTCACAAAACAAGAAAAAAAACTATTTTAAAATTGATATGGAATCAACAAAGAGTCTGAATAGACAAGGCAACCCTAAGCAAAAAGAACAAAGCTGGAGGCATGATGCTACCCAACTTCAACCTATACTACAGGGCTACAGTAATCAAAACAGCATGGTACTGGTACAAGAATAGACATATAAACCAATGGGACACAATGGATAACCCAGAAATAAGAGTGCACGCCTACAACTATTTGATCTTTAACAAACTGAAAAAAAAACAAGCAATGGGGAAAGGAATTCATATTCAATAAATGGTGCTGAAATAACTCACTAGCCATATCCAGAAGATTGAAGCTGGACCCCTTCCTTACATCACACACAAAAATTAACTCAAGATGTATTCAAGACTTAAATGTAAAACCAAAAACTATAAAAATCCTGGAAGACAACACAGACATTACTATTCAGGATACATGAACAGACGAAGATTTCATAACAGAGACACCAAAAGCAATTGCAACAAAAGAAAAAATTGATAAATGGAATCTAATTAAACTAAAGAGCTTCTGCACAGCCAAAGATGCTATCAACAGAGTAAATAGCCTACAGAATGGGAGAAAATATTTGCGAACTATGCATCCCACAAAAGTCTAATGTCCAGCATCTATAAGGAATTTAAACCAATTTACAAGAAAAAAAAAACCCCATAATAAAGTAGGCAATGGACATGAACAGACACTTTTCAAAAGAAGACATACATGAGGCCAACAATCACATGAAAAATCTCAACATCCCTGATCATTAGAGAAAAACAAATTGAAACCACACTGAGATATCACCTAAGACCAGTCAGAATGGCTACTATTAAAAAGTAAGAAAATAACAGATGCTGGCAAGGTTGTAGAGAAAAGGGAATGCTTATGCACTGTTGGTGGGAGTGTAAACTAGTTCAGCCATTGTGGAAGACAGTGTGGTGATTTCTTAAAAGACCAAAAGACAGAAATACCATTTGAATCAGCAATTCCATTACTGGGTATGTAACCAAAGGAATATAAATCATTCCACTGTAAAGACACATGCACATGTATGTTCATTACAGCATGATTTACAATAGCAATGACATGGAATCAACCTAAATGTCCATCAACGATAGACTGTATAAAGAAAATGTGGTACATATACACTATGGAATACTATGCAGCCACAAAAAAGAACGAGATCATGTCTTTTGCAGGGACATGGATGGAGCTGGAGACCATTATCCTTATCAAACTAACACAGGAACAGAAAACCAAATACCACATGTTCTCACTTATGAGTAGGAGCTAAATGATGAGAACACATGGATGCATAAAGGAGAACAACACACACTGGGGCCTTTCTGAGGATGGAGGTTTGGAGGAGGGAGAGGTTCAGGAAAAATGACTAATGGGTACAAGGCTTAAAACCTGGATGATGAAATAATTTGCACAATGTTCCTGGTTTGGCTTTTGGCTTGACTGTTTTTTATATATAGAAATGCTAGTGACTTTTGCACATTGATTTTGTATCCTGAGACTTTTCTGAAGTTATTTATCAGTTTAAGAAGCTTTTGGGCTGAGACTATCAGGTTTTCTAGGTATAGGATCATGTCTTTTGCAAACAAGGATAGTTTGACTTTCTGTTTTCCTATTTGAATGTCCTTTGTTTGTTTTGTCTGATTTTCCCAGCCAGAACTTCCAATACTATGTTGAATAGGAGTGGTGAGAAAGGGCACTTTTGTCTTGTGCCTATATTCAAGAGAAATGCTTCCAGCTATTCAGCTATTCAGTATGATGTTGCCTGTTGGCTTCTCATATATGGTTGTAATTATTTTGAGGTATGTTCCTTCAATATTTATTGAGAACTTTTAAACTGAAGGAATGTTGAATATTTTTTCAAAAGTCTTTTCTGCATCTACTGAGATAATCATATGGTTTTTTTTGTTTAGTTCTGTTTATTTCATGAATCACATTTATTGATTTGTTTCTGTTGAAACAACCTTGCATTCTGGGGATCAGACCTACTCAATCGTGATGGATTAGCTTTTTGATGTGCTGCTGGATTTGGTTTGCCAGTGTATTGTTGAGGATTTTGCATGAATGTTTGTCCAGGATATTGGCTGAAAGTTTTCTTTTATTGTTGTGTCTCTGTCAGGTTTTTGTATCAGGATGAGTCTGGCCTCAGAAAGTGAATTAGGGAGAAGTCCCTCCTTTTTGATTTTTGGGATAGTTTCTGTAGAGATGGTACCAGGTCTTCTTTGAACATCTGGTAGAATTAGCTGTGAATCCCTCTGGTCCTGGGCTTTTTTTTTTTTTTGGTTGGTAGGCTATTTGTTACTGCCTCAATTTCAGAACTTGTTATTGGTCTGTTCAGGGATTCAGTTTCTTTCTGTTTCAGTCATGGGATGGTGTATGTGTATTCTGCTTGCTTAAGGCCTGGATTTTAATAGTTTTCCTTAAGCTTAAATCTTAGTTATTTTCTCACTACTTTTCTAATATATGCCATAACCTCCTCACCATTATTATTGATTGCTTACCATTTTTCTTTAAATTGACTCCCTTTTAAAGCTTAAATACGTATGTTATCCATTTTCAACATTATGTTTGTTGGCATCATGGGCTTGATATGCTCAATATTTTTTTAAAAAATTGTTTAGGTACTATAATTTTCTATGAATTATGTGTATTATACATTTCTAACTACACAGTCTGCCTTCTGACAGTATTCTACAGTCTTGACTCAATTGACTATAGTCTTTATTTATATATATTCAGAAATTTAAAATTTCATTACAATATAGGTACCAGGAATTGGATCAGCGCTACCCAGTGTCAAATGTGTTTGTGGGACAGAGGGATGAGAGAGCTGCTGATGAGACCAGATGAAGGAGTTTCTGTCTGCTCATCACCTTTCTCCCTACTCATCTCCTGCTATGCCAGTTTTACAATTTTCTTCCTTCAAAACTCAGCCATCTGCTATATGCATGGTAAAAAGTCCTTGAAAAGTTTGCAGAATTTTACCTTTTGCTCTTGAAGATATTAGACTGGAACATGATAGAAGCATAACGCAAATAGCATTAAAAAAGCAGAATGAATTTTCTTCTCACTGTTGACATGGAACTTCAGTTGTTTTAGCTTCACGGCCCAAATGACTTGGTCTGTGGAAGCTACTTTTGGCTTGCTATCCCAGCTGAAATAATAATATTCAGAGTACAGTTGAAATTGTTTGAAACTTCAGTATAGTTGAATCTCTAATGCTCAAGTCCAGGTGATTAACTTTTAATTGGCCTAAGGACTTTATGCTGATCCTTCAAAACCTTTCAGTAGCTATCTCTTCTATCTTTCTTACAGTGATCAATGAACCCTTTGGTTCTCCAGCTCCTGGGTCAAGAAATGGCAAAGGAGATAATGGTATTGTTATCACTCTAAAGGTTTAAGTTGCAAAAGCAGTTTCATCTCCAAAAAAATGTTTGTTTCTTCTTAGGCACTGTGTCCACAGATCAGTTTCTTGGGTAAGGTTGTATGGGTCAACTTACGAAACTTTCTTTAATCATGTCAAAGGACCTAGAGTTTGTTTGCCCATGCTTAATTCTGCTCTTTATAAACTCAAACAAAAATACACTCTTCACTGAATTACCAGCATGAGTATTCACTAGTCTTGAATTACTATTATAAAGAATAATTCATAATTTAAAGTAAGATTTAAAGAAACATGAAGGTTTTGGTTTTTAACAAAGACATATAGTGGCTTCCTCTAAAAACTGTTGAGACTGTTTAGAGTTATCATTATAAAACAAGGACATTCTCACAATGCACGGACACGGTGAAGTTTATGTTTAATTAGAAAGCTGTCACTGGAGCTCAAGGGTCAATTAATGTCACCTCCTGGATCATGGTTGACATAATATGGCATGTACATGTAATGTCATAACTTAGAAGAGACCGCAGGAAAAAAAACAATCAAAGGTCTTTGATATGGTTTGGCTCTGTGTCCCCACCCAAATCTCATCTCAAATTGTAATCCCCATAATCCCCATGTGTTGAAGGAAAGAGCCGGTGGGAAGTGATTGGATCATGAGGGCAGTTTCCCCCATGCTGTTCTCATAATAGTGAGTGAGCTCTCATGAGATCTGATGGTTTTATAAGTTGTGTTCTTTCTCTCTCTCTCTCTCTCTCTCTCTCTCTCTCTCTGTCTCTTTCTCTTGCCTGCTGCCATGTGAGAAGTGCCTGCTTCCCCTTCTGCTATGATTGTAAGTTTCCTGAGGCCTCCCTGCCATGTGGAACTATGAGTCCCATTTTCCTTTATAAATTACCCAGTCTTGTGTAGTATCCTTATAGCAGTGTGAAAACTAACTCATACAGTCTTTATGCATTTATGTAGCTCTAGAAAACCGAGCAGTTCTAGAGATATCAATTATATAGATTAGTAGTTTTCAATATGTATCAGAATAACCTGAAGGATTTAATAAAAGAGAAATGTATGGGCTCCAGCTCCAGAGATTCTGACTCTGTATGTGTAGTATGGTACCTAAGAATTTGCAAATCTAAAAGTTCTCAGGTGTTCCTGATGCTGTTGGTCTGAGGGACCACACTTTGAGAAACATTGGATTAGAGTCACCTATGGTAAAGAAGTTCCATGGTATTTCTATGAAATAACATTGGCATTTCCATAAGCTATAAATTAAAATGCAAGAGTCACAGAAAAGGATAGAGTCAAACACTTACTGAACACCTACTGTGTAGGATGCACTTGCTAGATACTTTATACAGATATCTTATTCAATTTCATCATTGCTTCATTATCCCCATTTTTCAGATTAAAAAAATGGAACTCAGCAAGTTAACTAACATTCTGAAGGCCACAAAGCTATCAGGTGGCAGAGTTGAAATTCAAACCCAGTTCTGCCTAGGTTGAAAACTTACAGTTTCTCTTCTAGATCATTTTGCAAATACTATTATTTAAAAAAATATACCTAAATATATCTATCTATCTATCTATCTATCTATCTATATCTATCTATCTATCTATATATATATATTTATTGGTCCCCCAGTTTATGCACCCATTCATCACTCATCTATCCATCCATCATCCACCAATCAATTAATTGATCCATTTGTTCATTCATGAAAACATTCTTAAACATTCATAGTTCTTTAGCCTCCCATATGTGCAAATACTTTCTCTTCTTTAGGCCTCACTTCCATCATGAGTGCAATAAGAAGGTTGGACTCAATGATTTTTAAGATTTCTTTTATTCATTCATTCTTATTTATTTATTTTTGAGACAGGGTCTCGCTCTGTCACCCAGGCTGGAGTGTAGTGGTACAATCATAGCTCACTGCATCCTCGAATTCCTAGGCTCAAACAATTCTCCCACCTCAGCCTCCTGAGTAGCTGGGACTGTAAGATAACACCACCACGACTGGCTGAACTTTTTCTTTTGTAGAAATAGGGCCTCACTGTGTTGCCAGGGCTGGTCTTGAACTCTTGGCCTCAAGCAATTCCCCAATCTTGGCCTCCCAAAGTGTTGAGATTACAGGCATGAGCCACTGTGCCAGACCATTTTCATTCTTTAAAGCCAAACAATGCTCAGAGCTGCTCTTTCTTTAGCAATAAAAATATTACAAAGCTTTTCAAGCAAATGAAGTTAAGTTATCTTTCATAAGAACGAATTCAGAGGAAAATCCCTGTGTAGTTATGGAGGAGAATTATATATGAAAACACATCTCTCTGTTAGTACTGCAAAAATATTTCATTAATTAAAATTAAGACATAGTAGAAGACTATGGTAGTTATAGCAAAGCTATATTGAATATTTCACAAAAATATGAATAAACAATTTACAGAAAGCATAATGATTCCAGCAACTTTGAAAGTACTTAAGCCCCAAGGACATTATACTTAAGAAATGGTTAGAGTCAAATAGAAAACTTGTGATCATCTAGCACTTAAAAGAGTTTGAATTTTCAAGTTCTTAAGATAAATTAATATTCATTCTTTATGAAGATAACTTTTTATTTGATCTGTAATAAAATCTCCTTTGTGAACAGAAAGTAAAATTACTACTTGACCCAACTATTCGATTACTGGGCATATACCCGAAGGAAAATAAATCATTATACCAAAAAGACACCTGCATTTGCATGTTTATTGCAGTGCTATTCACAATAGCAAAGAATTGGAGTCAGCCTAGGTGTCTGTCAATACTGGATTGGATAAAGAAAATGCAGCACATATACACCATGGAGTACTATGCAGCCATAAAAAGAATGAAATAATGTCTTTTGCAGCAACATGGAAGCTGGAGAAAATTACCTTAAGCAAATTATAGCAGAAACATAAAACCAAATACTGCATGTTATCATTGATAAGTGGGAGCTAAACATTGGGTACATACAGACATAAACATTGGAACAAGAGACACTCAGGACTCTAAAAGGGGGGAGTGAGGGAGGGGAGCAAGGGTTGAAAAACTACTTGTTAGTTACTATATTCAGTATTTGGGTGACAGGTTCAATTGAAGCCCAAACCTGAGCATCATGCAATATACTCATGTAACAAACTTGCACATGTACTCCCTGAATCCAAAACAAACAAATTTTAAAAATAAAAAATAATAAAAATCTCCTATGCTCAAATATCTTTCTTTCTGTTTTATGCACTTTAAGAAAACTCTAGGCCCGGCATGGTGGCTCACGCCTGTAATCCCAGCACTTTGGGAGGCCGAGGAAGACGGATCATGAGGTCAGGAGATCGAGATCATCCTGGCTAACACGGTGAAACCCCGTCTCTACTAAAAATACAAAAAATTAGCCGGGCCTTGTGGCAGGCACCTGAAATCCCAGCTACTTGGGAGGCTGAGGCAGGAGAATGGCGTGAACCCGGGAGGCAGAGCTTGCAGTGAGCCGAGATACAGCCACTACACTCCAGCCTGGGTGGCAGAGTGAGACTCCGTTAAAAAAAATAATAATAATAAATAAATAAATAAATAAATAAATAAAATAATAAAAAAAAACTCTGAAGAGGATCACATAGAAAAAAAAAAACAAGCAAACACAGTACACCACCACCACCACCAACAACAAAATAGCATAAATGGAACCATGTGAATGGGGATTGCAAAAAGCCAATGATGGGCTTTGCAAGTGAATGGCAGATTTGTCTGGGATTGAGTTACAGCTTAAAACGATCTCATTTCTTATGAATGAGGGAGTTAGGTTTGTCAATGAAATGAATATCAATTTTTATCATATCTATATCTATAGCTTTTGCTATGGAACTTCAAAGACTTACAAATCTAAATTAGTTCAGAATTTAGATCTTTGAACTTTCTTCTATACTTATGAAAGCAAAAATATTTATGAAGCCTACAATGCCAATCAGCCAAAGATACCCCTTATTTGAAGCCATTTTTGTATTACATTTGACACATATCAAGGTGTGAGATTCATTATCTGAGGCATTCCCAGAACTGGAGTGATTTGAGTATGTCTGTGAATTTTATCTCTCTTCTTTTCTAAAAGCTCTTTCCCATTCTTGACACTTCCAAAAAAGGTGCAAACTAAATGTGAGATGTTAGAGAAATATATTAATGAGGGAAGATGAAAGAACATTGGAGAATAAATTTCAGTTGTTTTTTGATTTTGATGGAAAAGTTTTCACAAAAATCACACTATCTAAAGATTCAGAAACTGTTTAGAATCTTGGGAGTTGCCTATGATTTTAATAGAATGTTAACAAGGTATTTCCAGAGAGATGTCGTTGTCATCAATTGATGACATGCCCAGATCTTGTTTGTTTCTTCTTTAAGGAGAAATTCATTTTCGTTTTTCCTTAGAGAATGTATTTCCTCTTCTGTGAAAATGCACCCTCCTGTCACAACAATATGAACTCAAGAAAAATTTTATAGCATTGGAGCTCACTTTTCAATATTCAGAGGAAGCAAAAGGAGAACAAGTTTGCATTGACCCTCAAAGGGAAAAATTTGCAGCATACTAAGTACTCCTTGTGAAATTAAACAGTTGGAGAAACACCATGTCCTTCTATTGGTTCAGTTTTGATAGAAACTATGATTTTCAATAGTTATAGGAGAGCAAAAATGCTCTGCTGCTGATTTTGGAAGAAAATGAATTGAGTTAGCTGTTCAATGGACAACAGATAACTTTGGATAGTGCTTTTCTTTGCCTTTGCTCATAGTTATCACCATATTTTACCCTGAGTTCTCAATATAGTAAAATAAAGTAGGATTATCTTATAAGCAGAATAATGAGCCTCCTTATACTTTAACTTGTTATCATGATTAAAAGCTACTGCAATTATAAAACTGAAAGAACTCCCTGTAGCCAAGTGCCTTGACGTAGGTTGGAAGTAAAATGGTGGATTTTGTCAAACACGTGGGATTTAGACTGCAACTCCCTAATACTAGACCTACTATTGATTTCTGGCTAGGTCTTAAGCAACAGGATTAACCTCATATTTTTGCTTTCATTTAGGTTTTTAACCTCCTTTTATTCAAGTCTTTATTTGTGCAATGAGATAACAGGCTGAGACTATGTGGTTTGGGTGGGACATTTCAACTAGATTCAGAAATTTGTACTCATAAAGGCATGCCCAAATTTGTCCATGAAGATTCATCATTTTTTTTGCTAATGGTAAATGAAAACATGCCATGTTGAATTTGGTTTCCTTCCACGGATGTTAGCATGGATGTCTGGATTTTAAAAAGTAGATTATTAAACTGACCATAAAGCCTCAGTTTTAAATTCAACATGGTGTGGTGGAAAGAACATTCAACCTTAAGCAAATCCTGTAATTTTTCTGGGCCATAGTTTTCTGATTTGTTCAAACAGAGTAGAAACACCTCCCGAGCATCCCCCAGGGATGTTATAAGGAACAAATGAGAGAAAACGGAAATACATTTTATAAATTAGAAATTCTATTTAAGTGTAGCATATTATTTACCCCATAACATTTTAAATTAGAAAGAATATTTTAGTTGAAGGAGTCTGTGGCACAGAAAGGTTAAAGAGTTTAACAAAATAACCCAGCTAGTAAGTTGGAGAGCCAGGACTAGAACCCAACTTATTTGATACTTATGCTAATCTTCTAAGAATCCGGAGTTTCAAGTAAGATAATGGCCTCCAGTTCCATTCATGTTGCTACAAAAAACATTATTTTATGCTTTTTAAAGGCTGAATAGTATTCCATTGTGTGCATAAACTATTTTCTTTATCCATTCATTTATTGATGGACATTTAGATTGATTCCACATCTGGGCTATTGTGAACAGTGCTGTGATGAACATACACACAAAGGTATCTTCTTGACATAATGATTTCTTTTTTTAACTTTTAGGTTCAGGGGTACATGTGCAGGTTTGTTTTATAGATAAATTATATGTTATGGGGGTTTGGTGCACAGATAATTTTGTCACCCAGGGAATAAACATAGTACTGATAGGTAGTATTTTCATCCTCACCCTCCACCCTCAAGTAAGCCCCAGTGTCTGTTGATCCCTTCTTTGTGTCTGTATATGCTCAATGTTTAGCTCCCACTTATAAGTGAAAACACGCGGTCTTTCATTTTCTGTTCCTGTGTTAGTTTCTTTAGGATAATGTCCTCCAGCTTCATCCATGTTGCTGCAAGGCACATCATTTTATTCTTTTTTATGGCTGCATAGTATTCTATGTATGTGTACCACATTTTCTTTACCCAGTCTACCACTGATGGGCATTTAGGTCAATTTCATGCTGTTTTACTGTTTACTTTTTTAAATAGAGAGACAGGGCCTCAATTAGTTGCCCAGGCTGATCTCAAATTTCTGGGCTCAAGAAATCCTCCCAACCCAGCCTCTCAAAGTGCTGGGATTATAGGCATGAGCCACTGTGCTCAACTCCTATGTTTTTGCTATTGTGAATAGTGCTGCAATGATGTCTCCATTTTACCATTCACCAGAGTTGATTATCTTTACTTTCATCCTTGGCTTGAAAGAGTCAACAGTTACCAGTGTTCTTTTATCTCCTCCATATCAAAAAAGTTGACAGATTATCAATATGTGGTATAATTATGACAAATAGGCAAGGCTATTTTTGCAATAGCAAAGATTAGTAACCTTTGCTGAGTAATTATTATTTCTGAGGTCTTTATATGCATTGTCTCATTTTTCCTCACAATAGCCCAGTGAGGTACTAGTTTTAATCCCCTTTAACAGATGAGAAAATTGAGACTCAGAGAGGATAAGTAACTTGTTGATATGGTTTGGATTTGTGTTCCAGCCTAAATCTCATGTCAAATTGTAATCCACAATGTTAGAGGAGAGGCCTGGTGGGAGGTGATTGAATCACGGGTATGCGTGGATTTACCCCTTGTTGTTCTCATGAGAGTGAGTGAGTTCTCATGAGATCTGGTTGTTTAAAAGTGTGTAGCACCTTCCCCTTCTCTCTCTTTCTCCTGCTGTGACTATGTAAGACATGCCAGCTTCCCCTTTCACCATGACTGAAAGTTTTCTGAGGCCTCCCCAACCATGCCTCCTGTACAGCCTGAGGAACCATGAGCCAATTAAAACTCTTTTCTGTATAAATTACTCAGTTTCAGGTCTTTTTTTATAGCAGTGTGAGAACAGACTAATACACTTGTCCAATGATATATGGCTCATTAGTGATGGAGCTTGTATTCAAACTCAGGTCTGCCTGGTCCTGTGTCTGAGATCTTATGTACAACCATGCTGTCTCCAAATTAAAAAAAAAGATAAAATTTGATGCTGCATCTACAAAATCTGTATTTGGGTAGTAGGTTAGAGAAGAGAATAAAAAGCCTCATGAGTCTGTTTAGTGATATATTAGATGAAGTAGAAAGGGCCCAGGCTTTAGAATCAAAGAGACCTTGGTTTGAATCCCAGGTCTGCCAGTTACGAGCTGGGTGACATTGTCAGTCATTTAAACCCCTGAGCCTGGTTGTCCTTATCTGTAAATTGGAAATAAAAATACCTCACAGAGTTGCAATAAGGATTAAATAAGATGATGGATTGTAAGTGTTTGAAAAAGAGAAGGTATTAAATGCATGGTAACTGTTAAAATTATATTTGCTGATATTATTGTTATTATTGAAATTTTAACAGATTTGGGAGATAGGGAAAATATTAACATGAAGAATATACTTCTAGATTTCATTGCTTCATGATTCCTACCCCTGCTTAGTGTTGACTCTACATGGAGGTGGCCTTCAGATCAATTTTACAGAGTAGTCAGTATGCTTTTCCACTTCTGAGCTAGTGTTCATTTGAGTATAGGAATTTAGAGACTTTTCAACAGTTTCAAAAAATACTAAGTTTCTACTTGTGCATGACATTGTAAGGAATGAAAAAATCATATGGTCTAGAGAGAGATAACTGCCATTGATCAATTTATATGTTATCCCATTTTATCCAATAAATTCACTTAACAGGAATTTAATGAACAACCATAATATTCAAGGCAATGTGCTAATTGTGGCTGAGGTAGAAAATAAATAGAGCAGATATATGACATCTTGGCCTTTGTTTTCATGCAGTCCTATACTCTAGGTTGAAAGTGAAAAGTGCCTTTAGAGAGGTCTATAAATGGGGCAATGGAAAATTAGAAAAGGAAATAATGACTTCTTGCTGGGACTGAGTGCAGGAGGCAGCATTTCAGCTGAATCCTCCCGATTTGGAGATAAGAGAGGGAAGAGAGCGGGTGATTTTTATTATACATTCTAATGCTGATATAATTTTCTATTTTGAAGCATGGTATATCTTCGTGATTACAAATGCAGGTTCTGGAGCCAGATTGTCTAGGTTCAGTCCTGGCTCAGCTAGTTTTACTGTTACTTATCCATTTTGTGACTTGATATCTTCATCTGCCAAATGGGAAGATAATAACAATGCCTTCCTTATAAGGGTTTTGTAGGATTAAACGAAACAAATACACATAAAGCATTATACAATGCTCATTAAATTTGAGCTATTTGGGGTATTATTACAAGGCCTTTGATACTGATGAAGCTGATATGTTTAATCATTCAGCCCCTTTACAGTGAAATATTTATGAATCACTATAATTTAAGTAAGAAGGAGGAAAATACAACAGAAGGGGTAGAAGCTGAATCTTGAGACAGGAGAGAAGCTTTTCTGCTCTCTCAACAAAAGTGCAGTGAAATAGCGGCAGAAAACCCACATGTGGAACCTGCCTTGTTCCTTGCTTGAAACTCAATTTATATTTTTAACCTTTATTTTAGGTTTAGGGCTAGATGTGCAAGTTTGTTATATAGATAAATTATGTGCCATGGAGGTTTGGTGTACAGATTATTTTGTCACCCAGGTAATAAGTACAGTACTCGATAGGCAGTTTTCAATCCTCTCTCTCTCCCCCAACTCCACCCTTAAGTAGGCCCCAGTATCTGTTGTTTCCTTCTTTGTGTCCACATGTATGCAAAGTTTAGCTCCCACTTATAAGTGAGAACCTGCAGTATTTGATTTTCCTGTGTTAGCTCACTAAGGATAATGGCCTCCAGCTCCATCCATGTTGCTGCAAAGGAAATGATCTCATTGTTTCTTATGGCAGCATAATAATCCATTGTGTATATGTACCTCATTTTTTATCCAGTCTACTGTTGATATTTAGGTTGATTCCATGACTTTGCTATTGTGAATAGTGTCACAATGAACAACATATCCATGTGTCTTTATGGTAGAAAGATTCTTATACCCAGTAATGGGATAGCTGGGTCAAATGGTAATTCTATTTTAAGTCTTTGAGAAATCGCCAAACTGCTTCCCACAGTGGCTGAACTAATTTACACTCCCACCAGCAGTGTATAAGCTTTCTTTTTTTCACAACATCGCCAGCATGTGTTATTTTTTGACCTTTTATTAATAGCCACTCTGAATGGTGTGAGATGATATCTCATTTTGATTTGCATTTATCTAATGATTAGTGATGTTGAGCATGTTTCATATGCCTTTTGGCCACATGTATGACTTATTTTGAAAAGTATTTGTTTAGATATTTTGCCAACTTTTTCATGGAATTATTTTTTTTCTCATGTATTTGTTTAAGTTCCTTACAGATGCTGGATATTAGATCTCTGTTGGATGCATAGTTTGCAAATATTTTATGCCATTCTGTAAGGTATCTGTTGACTCTGTTGATAGTTTATTTTGCTGTGCAGAAGCTCTTTAGTTTAATCAGGTCCCATTGGTTAATTTTTGTTTTTGTTGCAATTGCTCTTGTCATCTTCATCATGAAATCTTTGCCAGTTTCTATGTTCAGGCTTGTTGCCTTTCAGGGTTTTTATATATTTGGGTTTTACATTTAAGTCTTTAATCCACCTTGAGGTGATTTTGTATATAGTGTAAGGAAGGAATCCTATTTCAATCATCTGCATATGGCTAGCCAGTTATCCCAGAACCATTTATTGAATAGAGAGACATTTCCCCATTGCTTGTTTTTGTCAATTTTGTTGTATGTGTGTGGCATTATTTCTTTGATTTCTATTCTGTTCTATTTATTGGTCTATGTAACTGTTTTTGTACCAGTACCATGCTGTTTTGGTTACTGTTTGCTCGTAGTATAGTTTGAAGTCGGGTAATGTGCTGCCTCCACCTTTGTTATTTTTGCTTAGATGGCCTTGGCTATTCAGGCTCTTTTATGGTTCCATATGAATTTTAAAGTAGTTTTTTATAGTTCTGTGAAGAATGTCAATGTCTCCTTTGATAGGAATATAATTGAATCTGTAAATTGCTTTGGACAGTATGGGCATTTTAACAATATTGATTATTTCTATCTATGAGCATTAAATGTTTTTTCATTTGTTTGTGTCAAAATAGGAATACAGGAAGTCAAACTATCCCTGTTTTCAGATGATATTATTCTATACTTAGAAAACACCATAGCCTCCCCTCAAAAGCTCCCGGAACTGATAAACAACTTCAGCAAAGTGTCAGGATACAAAATTAATGTGCAAAAATTAATAACATTTCTTTACACAAACAACATCCAAGCTGAGACCCAGATGAAGAATGCAATCCCACTCACGGTAGCCACAAAAAGAGTAAAATATCTAAGAATACAGCTAACCAAGGAGGGGAAAGATCTCTACAAAGAGAATTACAAAACATTACTCAAAGAAATCCGAGATGAAATTCAATTTAACTCCACACTTGGCACATAGTAGGTGCTCAATGAATTTTTGCTGAATGACTTCATGAACAATTGAAGGCTGAGTTTTATTTTACCGTTTTCTATTGAAGGATGGAAATTGTTTAAAATTCCTAAACTTGCTCTGATCAGAACTGTACTTCTCTCAAGTAATTCTTAAGTCCCTAGAATATAATTTTTCAACACTCCACATTCTTTTAGCAATCATACCTCAGCAAATCTTTAAACAGGGACTGAAAAACCATAAAATTAAAATGTTTAATTTTACCTTTTTGCCTTTCCATCTGTAATGCCATCTGCAAATAATAGAACATCTAAATTTCACTTGTTGGTTTTTCTTTTTTTATTTTTCTGTTTTTTGAGATGGAGTTTCACTATTGTTGCCCAAACTGGAGTGTAATGGCATGATCTTGGCTCACTGCAACCTCCGCCCCCAGGTTCAAGCTATTCTCCTGACTCAGCCTCTGAGTAGCTGGGATTACAGGCGCGTGCTACGACGCCTGGCTAATTTTTTGTATTTTTCGTAGAAACGGGGTTTCACCATGTTAGCCAGGCTGGTCCTGAACTCCTGATCTCTGGTGATCCGCCTGCCTCGGCCTCCCAAAGTGCTGGGATTACAGGTTTGAGCCACCGTGCCTGGCCAGGTTTTCCTTTTTTTTACAGTGACTGAAATGAAACATTAAAATCATACGATAATACCAGGTTTCCATCAACTATTTACTCATTCATTAGTACAGACAGCCATATCAATACCCAGCTCCATTATATCCATTTAAAGGTTTTTGTTTTTAAAGAGTTCTGTTTCAGTGTCTCTATGTTTGAAGGTTGTTCAGAAAGTTTACAAGCAGCAGCTCCAACTTCGTCTTCAAAAATGAATAAAGAAACATGGACAGTTAAGATGATATCAGATTGATACAATAGTAATTGTGGGTTTTGCCATTAAAAGTAATAGGAAAAACTGCAATTACTTTTGCATCAACCTACTAATCTCAGGTCTTAATATAATATTGGTAAACAGAATTGTCCATGGACTGAACATGACTGCTTATGGTTTATTTAAAGATGTCCCCAAGAAATAGACATATTCATGTTTAGCATTTTAGAGACTGATGCAAGGAAATGTGATTGCCATTGATTATAAACTTTGTAATGGTAAGATCCAGGTCTGGATTACTTACTCTCCCAAGCACGTGTCACTGGGGTTCTCCTTAAAGGTACTGATGAGTTACTCTTGAAAGGACAAATGCATTTAACATGTACAGCTTCACAGGAACAAATCTTAGACCTGGTAGGGTGGAAGGAAGTGAAAATGGAGTGGAATGAAAAGGAACAAAAAGAACCCTGAGAAGAAAATAAAGAGTGCTGACATAAAACTTGGCTGACTCCCACAATCTAGTAGAGGATTTTCCCTGGATAGAATAATTCCTCAGGCACTGTTGAATGTAAGCATGTGAGCAGAAGAGCAGGCAGCAATGAAGTGAAAGATCTAATGGCAAATATCCTCTACAAACAAAATGAAACCTTTAGGTCTAATATAAAATTCGTTAGCCTTTCCAACATCTTTTTGCTGCATGTTACCTATGAACCTATAGTGGTTTTCTGTTTGGTTCTGTTTCCAACATGGTCCAACAGTGATTACCCTTTTATAACACTTTAACATTTCTTCCTACTCATTTCCTCTCATGTTAAGTCCCTTTAATTCTAAGCAAGATTTAAGACTCCAATTTTCGTATGTCTTAACAAACACTGAAAATTCTTTTCTTTCTGGCTTATGGAAAACTGTTGACTTGGACAACCCTAACGTCTTCCAGCTGTGAAAACTATCCATGCGATAAACTAAGGATGTTGTTACAAATTGAGGCTAGGGTGTCCTTCTGGAAAAACTGCTTGCTTATATTTTGGGCAACATTAAATGACTGGGTATTTAACCTGAAATTTTTTCACATATAGGCTTATATTTTATCTTACTAGAAGAAAGATAAAATATTGAATAATGTAGAAAACATTCCCCTATATAACATTTGTAATCTGGTTACAAATCTTGCCATTACTTCCCTCTCTTTTTATAGCTAGGGATTTATTTCCCTTCCTCTTGGGTTTTGGGGCATCTATAGGTGAGCCTTTGTACCTCCTGCTATAAAGTCTGTTGGCCTAGCGTATGTCTGAATCTCTCTCAACATCCCTCATTAGCTTAATATTATTTTATTCTTTGCCAAAGCTTTCTGCTTTAACAAAGATTGATGTTCACGGCTGAACTGTAATGCACCAGTTTCTATCTCTTCACTTTTTCCAGGGTGGGCCCTTGTCCAAGTTGTAAAAGCAGCACTGTTTGAGCTCAATCCAGCCTTCTCTTTCTTGTCCACAGTGATCTCATACTCTCCACATTCTCTTGTTCTACTATCAAGACGGACATTTTGTAAAGAATCAAATAAGTGGATGTGCATTGAGATGTAACTAAAGGGAAAATCTTGCTGGGTTATCTCTTCCAGGATGGATTTACATTTTCTCAGAGATCTAAGTTTTAAGCCAAGGGAATGAGTTGCTAATAATACAATTTCCATTTGGGAAGATATTTTTCCCCATGTAGGCATTGACAATTTGCTTAATCTGTGTACACAAAAGACTGTTTTCTAACTGAGTATGCTCTACTCTTTTAATTTTTGTTTGACCATATTTCTGATATTTACTCCCAACTTGTTAGGTTTTGTTTGGCCTTTTTCAATACGTTCTTTTAGAAAGTGCAGGAGAGCTCCTTACTAGGCTAGATGAGCATGGAAAAGAAACTGTGCTTTGAGACTGCTTGAATTAGAATATTGATTACATCATTTACTTAACTGTGTGAGAAATAACTCAGCCTCTCTATATTGGTTTATTTATCTGCAACATATAGATAATAATAATACCAATCTCATAAGGTTGTTACAAGGATTCAGTAAAAAGAAAATACTGAAAATGCTTAGAAAAGTGTCTGGCAAACACTATGCATTATATTAGGGATAATAATTATTTCTATTAAGTTCCAACATTCCATTTCATTAATGAAAATGTAGGCTTAGGCCAGGCGCAATGGCTCACACTTGTAATACCATCACTTTGGGACACTGAGATCACCTGATGTCAGGAGTTTGAGACCAGCCTAGCCGACATGAAATCCCATCTTTACCAAAAAAGAAAAAAATACAAAAATTAGCCAGGCTTGGTGGTGGGTACCTGTAATCTCAGCTACTTGGGAGGCTGAGGCAGGAGAATTGCTTGAACCCAGGAAGTAGAGGGTGCACTGAGCCAAGATTGCACCATTGCACTCTAGCCTGGGCAAAAAGAGTGAGACTCCATCACACACCAAAAAAAAAAAAAAAAAAAAAAAAAAGGAAAGAAAAGTAAAGAACAAAATGTAGGCTTAGTTTAGTCAGTATATAACCCTTGAAAACACATTTTAAGATTATCCATAGTTTATAATACCTAATTTACATTATTTTTGAAGGAACTAAACAATATTTGTGATCCAACAGGTCAAAACTTAATTCAGACTTTAGAAACTCATGACATAAAAAGTCATGTGGAGAATTATTAAGAAATATGTAAAATTACCACACCACAAAAATACTCTTTTCCATTTTAAAGACGTGTCAATGAAACAAAATAAAAACAGTGAAAAATGCCTTTCTTTGTCTTTTTGATCTTTGTTGGTTTAAAGTCTGCTCTATCAGACACTAGGATTGCAATCCCTGTTTTTTTTTTCTTTCCATTTGCTTGGTAAATATTTCTCTATCCCTTTATTTTGAGCTTATGTGTGTCTTTGCAAATGAGATGGGTCTCCTGAATACAGCACACCAATGGGTCTTAACTCGTTATCCAATTAGCCACTCTGTGTCTTTTAATTGGGGCATTTAGCCCATTTACATTTAAGTTTAATATTGTTATGTGCAAATTTGACTCTGTCATTCTGAGGCTAGCGTGGCTATTTTTCCTGTTAGTTGATACAATTTCTTCATATTGTCAATGGGCTTTACAATTTGGTATGTTTTTGCAGCGGCTGGTACCTGTTTTTCCTTTCTATATTTAGTGCTTCCTTCAAACACGGAAATGGAGCTTTGTAAGGCAGGACTGGTGGTGACAAAATCTCTCAGCATTTGACTGTCTGTAAAGGATTTTATTTCTCCTTTGCTTATGAAGCTTAGCTTGGCTGGATATAAAAATTCACCACCACTTCAGGCTAAAAACTCTTAATAAACTAGGTATTGATGGAACATATATGAAAATAAAAAGAGCTATTTATGACAAACCCATAGCCAATATCATACTGAATGGGCAAAAGCTGGAAGCATTCCCTGTGAAAACTGGCACAAGACAGGGATGTCCTCTCTCACCACTCCTATTCCACATAGTATTGAAAGTTCTGGCCAGGGCAATCAGGCAAGAGAAAGAAATAAACTGTATTGAAATAGAAAGAGAGGAAGTCAAATTGTCTCTGTTTGCAGATGACATAATTGTGTATTTAGAAAACCCAATTGTCTCAGCCTAAAATCTCCTTAAGATGCTAAGCAACTTCAGCAAAGTCTCAGAATACAAAATCAATGTGCAAAAATCACAAGCATTCCTATACACCAATAATAGACAGAGAGGCAAATCTTGAGTGAACTCCCATTCAAAATTGCTACAAAGATAACAAAATACTTAGGAATACAACTTACAAGTGATGTGAAGGACCGCTTCAAAGAGAACTACAAACCACTGCTCAAGGAAATAAGAAAGGACACAAACAAATGGAAAATCATTCCATGCTCATGGCTAGGAAGAATCAATGTCGTGGAAATGGTCATACTGCCCAAACTAATTTATAGAATCAATGCTATCCCCATCAAGCAACCATTGACTTAATTCACAAAATTAGAAAAAACTACTTTAAAATTAATATGGAACCAAAAAAGAGCACGTATAGCCAAGACAATCCTAAGCAAAAAAAACAAAGCTACAGGAATCATGCTACCTGACTTCAAATTATACTACAAGGCTACAGTATTCAAAACAACATGGTACTGGTACCAAAACAGATATATAGACCACTGAAAAAGAACAGAGGCCTCAGAAATAATGCCACACATCTACAACCATCTGATCTTTGACAAACCTGACACAAACATGCAATGAGGAAAGGATTCCTTATTTAATAAATGGTGTTGAGAGAACTGGCTAGCCATATGTAGAAAACCGAAACTGGACCCCTTCCTTACACCTTATACAAAAATTAACTTAAGATGGATTAAAGACTTCAGTGTAAGGCCTAAAACCATGAAAACCCTAGAAGAAAACCTAGGCATACCATTCAGGACATAGGCATGGGCAAAGACTTCATGACTAAAACACCAAAAGCAATGGCAACAAAAGCAAAAATTCACAAATGGGATCTAATCAAACTAAAGAGCTTCTGCACAGCAAAAGGAGCTATCATCAGAGTGAACAGGCAACCTACAGAATGGGAGAAAATTTTTGCAATCTATCCATCTGACAAAGGGCTAATATCCAGAATATACAAGGAAATTAAACAAATTTACAAGAAAAAATAAACAACCCCATCAAAAAGTGGGCAAATGATATGAACAGATACTTCTCAAAAGAAGACATTTATGCGGCCAACAAACAGATGAAAAAAAGCTCATCATCACTGGTCCTTAGAGAAATGCAAATCAAAACCACAATGAGATACCATCTCACGCCAGTTAGAGTGGCAATCATTAAAAAGTCAGGAAACAACAGATGCTGGAGAGGATGTGGGGAAATAGGAACACTTTTACACTGTTGGTGGGAGTGTAAATTAGTTCAATCATTGTGGAAGACAGTGTGGCGATTCCTCAAGGATCTAGAACCAGAAATACCATTTGACCCAGAAATACCATTTGACCCAGCAATCCTATTACTGGGTTTATACCCAAAGGATTATAAATCATTCTGCTATAAAGACACATGTATACATATATTTATTGCAGCGCTGTTCACAATAGCAAAGACTTGGAACCAACCCAAATGTCCATCAATGATAGACTGGATAAAGAAAATGTGGCACATATACACCACAGAATACTATGCAACCATAAAAAAGGATGAGTTCATGTCCTTTGTAGGGATATGGATGAAGCCGGAAACTGTCATTCTCAGCAAACTAAAACAGGAACAGGAAACCAAACACCACATGTTCTCACTCATAAGTAGGAGTTGAACAATGAGAACACATGGACACAGGGAGGGGACCATCACACACCAGGGCGTGTTGGAGGTGGGGGGCTAGGGGAGGGATAGCATTAGGAGAAACACCTAATGTAGATGAGAGGTTGATGGGTGCAGCAAACCACCATGGGATGTGTATACCTATGTAACAAACCTGCACATTCTCCACATGTATCCCAGAACTTAAAGTAAAATAATAATAAAAAATTTTTTTAAATAAATAAAATTTAAAGAGTAAAAAAAAGTACTTTTTTCTATTCCTCCTGCAACTTAAAGCCCTGGACATTATATATAGAACATAGGAAAACTAAAAGGAAGAGGGAAGATGGTAGACGAGATAGGACCTCAGGACTTGAGGAACTACATAGTGGTGACTTCCCTGCATTTTATTTTGGTTTCATATATCCCAGACTTGAAGAAACAGATGATCTTGGAATGCCAGTGGGAACAGACAAAATAAAGCCCCAAGAAAAATCTTCTCTCTCTAGCCAAAGGACAAGAAAGGAGGAGTTTTAATAAGACAGAAAACTTTGAGACAATAATACCTCTACTCTAGCCAAACAATACAGAAAAAGCTATAGTTCCACTCATCTAAGGCTGAGTGGGGCACCTAGACTAACTTGTGTGTGAGCCTGTAATGAGGTGCTCTAACATCTTTGGTGTTACAGAAGGCCAAGTAAGGAGCCAAGGTTTTTATCCCCACTGGCTGATTAGAAGTTTCTCCCTCAGCAGCATCAGTGGAGAAGAACACTTGGGGAGCCTGGGCTTCCATTCTCACCTGGCAGCACAAGGTGCTGGTCTGACTCCCTGCTGGGGTGATGTCAGCTGAGGCCTAGTGGAGAGTCAGTTCCTTCAACATCGCCCAACAGTAGTAAGGCTGACAAATATTTTAAAGCAGTTTTGATAAAAATGCTTCAACAAGCAATTATAAGCAGACCTGAAGCAAATAAATAGAAAGAATCAGCAAAGAAATAGGACTTTTTTCCATTTGATAAAAAGAATCAAATGGAAAATTTTGAAATGGAAAATATAGTAACCAAAATAAAAATCTCAGTACATGGGCTTAAGAGCAGAATGGAGGAGTCAAAGGGAAGAATCAGTGAACTGGAGATAGAAGAGAGGAAATTACACAAGCCAAATAACGAAGAGATAACAGACTTTACAAAAAAAACTAATGGAGCTCACAGGGACCTGTGGAATAATAGTGATATTCCACATTAGTATCATTGGAGTAACAAACGGAGAGCAGAGGAGAGGAGAGAGTGGGGCAGAAAGAGTATTCAAAGAAAAAAATGGCTGAAAAGTTATCAAACATGGAGAAAAACATACACTCATATATTCGGAAGTTGAGCAAATCTGGAACAAGGGAACCCAAAGAAATATGTGTCAAGTCACATCATGATTCAATTTGTGAAAACTAAAGACAAAGAAAAAATCTTGAAAGCAGCCAGAGGAAAAACAATACTTTACCATACAGGGAGAGAACAGGTTGAATGATGGAATTTTTTTTTTTTTAATCAGAAATCACTGAAGTCAGAAGGTAGTGGCACAACAATTTTCAGGTGTTAAAGGAAAAAAAAACTGTCAACCCACAATCCTATAACCAGCTGAAATATCCTTCAGGAATAAAGCAGAGAAAAAAAATCAAAACATTCTCCGATGGAAAAAAACTAAGACAATTTGTTACCAGCAGACCTACTCTAAAATAATGGTTAGAAGAAGTTCTCTAAACAGAAAGGAAATGCCACCTTCAGTAAGTTTTTAATTTTTGCTTCTCAGTCAACTTTCATCTCATTCCTGAGGAGAATACACCAGTAAGTGGGTAATCCTTTCACTATCAAAACTTGTTGACCAATTAATACCATGACATAGAAGCTTTATCCCTTAATGGAGTAACATTTATCAGTTCACCAATATGTGCCACGACTGTTTTCTCATGAAATTTTGGACAATTCACCTTCTTTCAGTTGTGTACCTCATTTGTCCAGTTTCAGGATTTGAAATGTATAATTTCTTTAAATTGTCTTTTTTAAAGATATAATTTGCAAGACCCATTCCTTTGTGTGTGTTGAAGGTAGGCATCAAGATCCCAACACTAAGTACAATATTAACAGTATTCTGATCCTGGTGCTGTGGACCCACGTGTCCAACGGTGATTATATGTTGCACGTCTAACTGCATGGGCCACTCTCCTGAGTCAACGTACCAAATATGCCACATTCCTCTTGGTCTTCTCACTCCCATAGTGTCAAAGCATGTTAAGGGACCCACTACCCCTGCCAGGGTCTGAGTTCCAGCCAGCCCTTCTCTTTATATTTTGAAGCAAGAGGGCTTTTTCTGCATTTTATATAAAAAAGAAGATAAATAGAAAAATCAGTAAGTGAAGGAAAAGCTTGATTGGGAGGGGAAAATCTATTACAGGCAAAAAGGGAGTGATATGAGAAGTGAAAAATTCACTGCAGAAATTTATTGAGCTAAATTGATTTCCCCCTTAGTTGAATGAAGTTGGGGAAGGATGTGAGATTTGGTCACAGGAGTTCTAATAACTAACTTTACTGTTCAAAGTCTCTTTAGTCTGGTTTTAGCCTTCCAAGGCAACTCCACTTTTGAGAACACAACCGCTGGCCGAGAATGTCCTCCTTAATGCCCCACTATAGGCCATTTGCTTTCTTATTTTCCAGCCCTGTTCTTACCATTTTTCTCCTCGGAGAGATCCATTTCTTGCTGCGTAGTTATATTTTCCTGGCCATTGAAGGCTTGCCAACTTTCAAAACCATCTCTAGATTCTTTTATTCTTAATTTTTTTCTTTAGTTATGGGAGGAATATCAAAATCTTTGTGAATCTTAGTTTGAAAAAAATTACATTAGAATATAATTTAATATTTGTAAAATGAAAAAAGCCTAGCAGTTTTTTCATTATACACATGACATAAAGTAAAATCCAGGTGTGTCTCATATGCCCTCAATCACCTCACCTCATTCATAGCTATGAACTGTCTTTATTGTCTCATCTTTCGTAGTAACTAGTATTAATCATTTATATTTGTAGGTGTCCAGAAAATGCATAATATATTCATCAGATTGAGTGAGTCTACAAAGTGAACTTCCAAAGAGAAGGCTTCATTACGTAGAAAGCATCAACTGGAAATGGGATTCATTGAAAAAATGCAATTAGCCTCATGGATTAACTCAACCAAATTGCAAAATAGAAGCTAATTCATTCTCTTCTGAAAAGGCATTAATTACTTCTGATAAGAGAATAATACTGTCTGTATAAAATATACTAGTGGCTCTGTTTATGTTTGGCTTAGCTAGAATATACTGCATTTAGATAGAAGAAGAAACATTATTAGACAAAACCATTTAGGAAAATGAGTTAGTCTGCAGCTGAAGTTCTGGTATAATCGTAGTAATCTGTGAATAATGCAGAGAAATTTAACTTCCCTCTGGTGAACAGATATTTTGTAATGTCCAATGAAAGTGACCTTGGAGCATATCAAGCACCAAATAGTACACGGTTGGCAATATCAGCTGCAGTTGTTCTAGAGAGGCAAGTTGAACAGGGCTAAAGCCCACTCCTACTTGCCACTACCCAAAGGTAACACCAGCAACAAAAAGGACTACCAGATGCCCAGATTTTCCTCAATATTGTTGATTGCACAAAGGTCAGATAAAATCTCAGTGATGAGGATAGGGCTGCTATGTATAGGTATTCAGGTTGTCCAGTGCCAATGGATGTTCTACCTAAAAGGGAGACTTTTTATATTATGGATAGATACTAACATATAAGAAGGGTACAGAAGCATGGAGATTTCACACCTATTAAGCAAGTTTTAAGGCAGCAGAGAAGAGTACCATCCAATGAAAACTCATAGTAGCACATACATCTGCTTTACACACTTGGGAGAGCACACATGGACACATTCACTGACAAATACATATGTATGAAGCTACCCCTTATCCAGGCTACACTTCAGATGTATCCCCTGAAGATGCTTTTCTCTGTTGCTCACCACTCTCACAGTCTGATTCTAAACTAAACTCCCAGAAATATTCCAAACCTGATACAGTCACCTTATCTGTGCATCAGTGAGAGGGGCTCAAAATGCAAGCATTTCCTATAGAATGTGTATCCTAGCACATCCAAGGTGTGTGAGAGCTGGCAAGAGTATGGATGTATTTGTGCCTTCATCCATGCCTGTCTCCTCCATGTAGGGCAGCCATGTATGGTTGATCGGGTTGTGCAATAATATACTGATTTATTTATTTTTACTTAAGGATGAAATATCTTTTTAAAATTTATACAATGTCCCCAAATGAAGGAAAAAGTAGTGTACAGTGGAAAATTAAGAATGGATTAAATGGAAGGAGATAATCAAATGTGTTTCACCAGTATATTTTTGTGAATGATTATCTCCTTTCCTCAGCACCATTCAGCAGTAGTAACTTATCTTTGTGCAGTTACTATGTATTATATACTGGAGATGTAGAATATAATAAGGCATGGATCTTGTTTTTGAGGAGTTGGACATTTGCAATTATGAAATATACATGCCACTTAATGCTTACAAGGAAATTTACCTAAGTTGGGAAATGTTTGGGCCTGCAACTTTATATCATTCAATCATCTTTGACACCTAGAATAGTTAGGGTCACAAAACATGAGATTTCCAAAGAGTTCAGAATTATACATGCTCTGTATACTATATTACATTGGAAAGATTTCTTAGAGTTGTGGAACACAGTGGAAAACTGAAAGTCCAGAAAACTCACTTATAGAAAGCTTAGAAATGAAATAATCATTCTTTTCATTGAAGCACCGAGGCTTAAAAATTCCCTGGACATGTAGAATGATTTGTCCCCATGAATGTACATTTGTGCACAGCATGTGAAACAAATGCTGCTTCTGATTCTAATTCAGCATGACTTCCCTTGATTGATTTACTCATGAATAGATAATATTAATTTCAATGAAATGACCAGAATGGGAAGGGCTAAGGTCTATCCCTATTTTCCCAGACTATATTTAACTTCCATGAAGATAGAAACTCACGGTTTGACCTTGCAGGAAGTGAGTGGAGAAAGATATTGTATGTGAAGAAAAGGAGTGCTAGAGTAGGCAATTTGAAGGATAATTATGAAAGTCAAGCCTGCTAAGGCCGGGACTGTTCATTTTCAGATTATCATTACAACAAGGCCATAATCAAGGTCAGGGTACACCTTGGTGGTGGGGGTATGTTTCAGGTATCAGGAGCCGAAGATGAAGGCATGAACTTCCTTTTGATGCCAACCCTGCTTTGGAGTGGAAGCTAAATACTGTGTATTTTTGAGAAGGATTCAGACAGATGGAGGAGCTCCAGAAAATAACAAGGACTGTGTTAAATGTGCCAGAGAGGAAGTGGCTGGTGTGAAAACACACACATGTTTACCTTTTCATTTTAGTCTATCCACAGTATGATCCTATCTTCTCTTTAGGAAGCTTCTCCTCCATCCAAATTGGATCAACCAACTCTAAGTTCATCCCTTGGGCTTTCCCATCTTTGCTTGTGTTTTTTATTTTCTTGGAAAGTACTATTTCTATCTATGTCTATTTGAATCCTTTATGTTCTTCAAGGTTCAACTCAAGCAGCTGCCCTATCCTTTGCCCACAATCTTTCACTCACTCACTCACTCACTCATTCATTCATTCAGTCAACAAATATTTAATTTTTGTTATTGAATCAGATATTGCAGATTCCTGTTGCTGGAAATAATTTGTAATCTCCAAATTCCTTTAGCAATTAATTTATGTATTTTTAATGATATTGACCATATTCAGACTATGATTTTCAGGACAAATAGCTTATCTTTTTTAAGCACTATGAAGGCAGAAACCATGCTTATTTATATATCTCACAAAAATGTCAACATAGCTGAGATATATATATATATATATATATATATATATATATATATATATATATATATGACAATTCCTAAAGTCCCCAGGGAACTCCAGAATTCCTCTATTTCCCTTGTTTCAAATTTATTATTTCAGGGAACTCCAGAACTCCTCTATTTCCCTTGTTTCAAATGTATTATTTCCATAATATTCCAGGAGAGTCACAAGATTAAACACAGCCAGATTCCTTTGTGATTTTCTCATGAGGCCCACATTTGCCAGAGGGAGCCATTTAAAAATGTTTTGTACTTTACACAAATAATACTTCCAAAACAAATTTCCATTTTTTTAGGCAGGTATGACTACACCAAAACAAGCAATTAGAGTCCAGATTTCCAATAGGCCAAAGGTAACTTTGTGTTACATGGAGAGTAACATTTCAAAGATGGAACCATTTTTCAAGATGCATCTTACCCAAAACGTTAAGTTTGTCTCTGTTCTGATAAAGAAAGCATTGGGAGTGCTTTTCCTATGCAAGTCGGGCAGCTAGAGTATAGTGGTGTGACCCAAAGAAATGCCTTTGCTGAAACCAAGCTACAGTTGCCAAAAGAAACTAGTCATTTGCTAATGGCAGTGAATGAACCCAGAAATGCCTTATTGTCCAATGAGAAGAGGCTCAAGCAAATTTGAACAGAACAAGTTGGTCTAAAACAGCTTAGGTTGGCCAGGCACAGTGGAACACACCTGTAATCCCAGCACTTTGGGAGGCTTAGGCGGGTGGATCGCTTGAGCCCAGGAGTTCAAGACCAGCCTGGACAACATGGCAAAACTCTGTCTACACAAAAAAATATAAAAATTAGCAGGACATCATGGTGTGCGTCTGTAGTCTCAACTACTTGGGAGGCTGAGGTAGGAGGATTGCTTGAGCCAGGGAGGTTGAGGCTGCAGTGAGCCAAGATCGCACCACTGCACTCTAGTCTAAAAACAAAAAACAAAACAAAGCAAAACAAAAACAAAAACAAAACACCTTAGGTTAAAGGGCTGAAAGAACAGGCCAAAGAAAGTGGGTTCAACTGTGGCTTCGAAATGTGGAAATTGGTGAACAAAATGGTGATGGTGTTGGTGGGTACTTCCTTTTTACTGTTACTTAATGTTTAATAAGAAAGCATGGGAGTAAAAGATGAGAGTTTAGGCTTAGTAACAGTTACAAAGTTCTTGACAGTGAAATCTTTTTAGACTAAGGCATGGTCTCCAGTGGAATGTGACAGCATCATTTATGGTATTTAAATATGGACTGTGCAATATTTGTGAAGGCTAATCATAGAAAGCAATCTCATACTGGTAAGAGGAAGGATTGTACTACCCTTTAAATGCTTTCCATCTTTTCATTTGGTGTCTCACCCTTATAATGATCATTTTCATGTTTTGTTTTGTTTTTTCTTGTTGTGTTACAACACATATTTGAAAAGCCAGCCAGAAAAATTAAAAAGAAACTTGGTTTGGTAAGCTTTGAGTCTTTAGTAGATGAAATGTGGAAAATAAAGTTTAAAAAAGTTAAAAATATATTGTGTTAGATAGAGAAAACTGGCACATAATTTTTTAATAGGCAGTCAGTTGGTTTTAGCAATCACAATAATGACAGAGTAGGAGGAGCAATGGGAAAAAAGAATTATTTTTTGATAAGGAATGTTGTTATTCCTTGTAATGAGTTCCTCTAAGGGGAACTCTACTTTGCTTCTTACTGTTTCCATAGCATCTTCACAGATATTTATTTGGAGCCCAGAAGTTAAGACTGGGGCTGAACAAAATGGTGAAATAGCCACCTTACCCTCAGCTGTACTCTGCCCGTATCTTTTTGGATTAGAGAGTGCTGCATGGGACTTCAGAGATTACTTATTCCATCTATCTTTTCCACTTTTGATAGACGTAGAAATTTGAATTTAGAGAGGGGGAGGACTTGCTCAAGGTCATGGGATATTTCTAGAAAAGGAACCGATACTATGTGTTTTGACTTCCAGGTCAGTATTCTTTCTACCACATCATGGTTTATGGTGTGCCGCCTTTCCTTTTAGAGTTTATCCAGTCCCTATGTCCTTAACACTCAAGCTCCCCTTCCAAGTGGGATCCAACAAAAATCCAGTATCTTCTTTTACTCATTGTTGTATTGTACATGCACATCCTTAGTCTTCCCAACATTGTCAGAACTTTTCTCTCTACCAAGGAATGGATAATGAAGCCACATTAATCTGTTCATGGCTATTTGTATATTACCTCTCAAGGGTAGACCTATTTTAACAGCATTCTAACCCAAAGAGATACTGTCGTGGTAGAAATTTCAATCAACAAAATAGGCTTCAAGGGAAATATTTTGGATCGGGATGGTTTTTCTAAAGTTCTTGAAATCACATGTACATGATTACCTACTGGGCCAAAACAATGAGTTGCGTTTTGTTAAGGTATACTGTTTTCTCCATTTCTGAGGTATTAAAATGGACTGCTAGCAACTGGACTAACAGTTATTTTGCATTCCAATTTACTGTGGCCTTACAGCTAGGGCCTGGGTCCTTAATAATAAATTGCCTCTTTAAAGGGAATTTCAGTGACTTAGCACATCAGACGTGGATAATACATAAATCACATCTATTATACATTTCTGAGAAAGAAAATCCTACCAAAAGGACACTTTGCAGTTTTATTTCAGTTTTCATTTCTGCTTTTAATCATAAATTGGCCATGGTTGACTGGACAGCATTTTAAATGACCCAGAAAATGTTTCCAGTCTTTCTACAAAAAGGGCTCTCTTTTGGGTACTTTTTCCTATTGCAAATATGCTTAAAAAACAGATTTCTTGGCTTCTTCTGCAGTAAATATCCTTGTTCCATTAGACGAAGCTGTTCTTTTTCTCCTGCAAAACTAACCTACAAATATTTTGAAATATAGTAGTTAATCCTTGTAACATACTAGAATTGTTTAATTTTTTGAGCTGCACACTCAGCCTGACAAAAACTGTAACATACACATATCTATCTAAAAATGGCTGCTGTCTTTCTTTCTTTACTGTTACAAAAATTTCAGCTGGGGAGATTCTCCTACCTACCCTTAACCCTTGTCATATTCTGGTTCACGGTAAGGAAGGATTTTATTTTAATGAATATTTCAGAGAATGAGTCTCTCTAGTGTAAAAAAAATATGTCAGACTTTTGAAACAACATTTTCTTCCTGGTGTGCTGTACTTTGTGGAATGAAAGCCCATAAACCAAAGGCTCTGGAAAAAGATGCCAAGGTCACAAATATTTACCTGAAGGAAGTAACAGGATATAAGAGTCAAAAAAGTAAAATATAAAATAAAAGAAAAAACAGTGAAATGAAAGTTGCTGTGGATAGTTTTAGTGAGCTGAGTTCATTTAAAGGCAGAAGCAGAACTTTCCAGAGGTATGGCAAGAGCAAATGTTTTTTCTCCATCTCAAACCTAAAGGAGAATAAGTGTCTTACAATTGAGCTTCACTGAATATAGTTTGCACAATCATTTTTGCGACATAAGAGTGAGGTTAGAAAATAAGTACAAGTTAAAATTAGCAAAGAACTAGCTGAAGTCATATGCATATACAGACCCAATTTCTCATTCCAAGAAGCATTCAATTAAGTATTTGAAGGACTTTTTCAGTAAATATAATTTAGTCCCAAGGTAAGCCAAAGGCTATATTTTATTTTTCATTTTAAGCAGAACTAGATTATTTTGGTTTGGTTTAAACCTATGAAACTAGAAATAGTGCCACTTTCATGTAGGTTAACAGTCATATTTCTGTGCCTTTGGTTACAGATTCCCGAAAATGTCTAGCAGACCTATATATTCTATGATAACTGAATTATTCTTACAAATGTTAGTCTAAAAGCTTTTTCTGCTAACAAAACTGAGATATTGGTACCAAAATTCGTTCTTCATATTTCAAACAAAGATGGGAAAGAGTTGTAGTCAAAGCTATGTTAGCTCGCTTGTTTAACCAGTACTTTACACAGCTCTTGAACATTTGCTCTATGAACAACTGATGTTGGCTTTCAAGTCTCTCTCTCATTGGATTTTTGTTCCAGTTGGATACATAATAGTAAAGTTGCAATATTTAGGAAAAATACTGAGGCTTCAATGGGAATGGAATAGCCAAACAAACATTCAGAACTTTTATGCTTTGGGGCGTAAGAACAGAGAAAGGCTGTGTTAAGGCAAATGATACAGTATCAATTTCTGTGAAATTCCCATTTGATGAATAATGTGCAGTAGCACAGATAATCTATCAAGGAGCCCCAACAAGTTTACGTTTTCCAATAGTAAGGAGCAGGAGACCAATATAATGGACTCTAATTATGTTACACCTTCTGTGAGCATAAACTTTATTTCCATGAGAATGTAAGGTACGTCAATTAAATGTTTTGTTGCCTTCTATCGTAGCTGGTAATCTTAAAATCACTGGTAATATTTTCCCCACAAAAATATTTATCTTAAGTAAACCATTTAATAATGAATAAATTAAGGCAGGAGGTATACGACATTTTCCCCTAACTAAAGGGAAGCTAAAGAAGTTACTTCTACACTTTTCATTAGCTAGGGGCAATTACTATTGATGCAAACATGTCTGAATCCACAACTTTGTGGACTTAAGTAAAAGTTTCTCTTAAAACCCTGGTGACATTATCCAGAAGGCTAGAGGAGGCCTGTATGGATTGGGAATTGACAGGCCTTACGTCTTCTGTATTCTCTGGTGAATGAATACCCACCACCCACCAACTCCCACTTCCCTACTTGTAAAATGGGAACCTGCAAATGGTGAACAGCCATCTGGGCAAGGAGCTGTGCTTCCAAACTGATGAAGGAAGCAGCTGCCCTCTAGAGGAGGACTGAAAAAGGGATTAGCCAGATTTCTTTGCAGGGCAGGCCACACGTTGGGATGCTCAGAAAATCGATAGCTTCCAAATGTTCTTTGTGTTCCCTACAGTAATGGGTCTCTGAGGCAGAGCCAGACTTAGAGCCACATGTGAAAGGAGATTATTAAATACATACTTCTCCTCATTGTGCCTCAAGATTAGTTGAGAGAAATACATTAAAAATAATGGGAAAACTGGATCACCACAGTGAAATAACTCATGGTAGAAAGCAATCATTTGAACCTAATTAACAGTGCACTTACTGGAAAATCAACAGCTATCCAGCTAAAAGAGTTCAGAAATTTGGTCATAGAGGCAATAGTCACCTGAACTTGTATCTGAAACACCAAGGAATGGTCTTGTGATCAATCGAATTGTTTTTATTTTGGCCTTCATTTTCTTCTCTCTTACTTAATCTCTTAGGCTAGCAGCCACAACCTGTCTTCTCCCTTCCTCTCTATTCTGGGCCCCATTTCAAGGACACTTTCACAAGCATTTTCCATTCCTTTGATTTCTTCACCTTCTATCTCACAGCTTTGGCAATTCCTGCCCAGGCTTGATTCAGTTCAGTGGTCCACTTTGCCTGTTCTTGTTCCCAGGCTGCTGAAGACCCATCTGGGGAAAATTACATATTCATGTTCATTGGCTTCATGACAAATGCATGCTTTCCAATCTCAGCTCGGCCCTCAACTCTTATCCTTAATCCGTTTCTCATCCATAGTTGGCTTCTTCTACTTTTTCCCACAGCAGCTGTTCCAAACCTTCATTTTTCTTCTCAGGCCCACACTTCTGGCCTTCTCATTTTGAGCAGATAACCTACATTTCTGTTTATCTTTTAAAAATGCCATCAGGTGACAGTTCTCTCCTACTTCCCCATCCAATGTTCTTGTAGTCATTCATTCTTTTTCTTCTCCTCTCCTATATCATTGAACCTCGTTTTAATTCTTCTCACCTTTTCTCACAGCTTGCAAATGTGTTCCAGTATCAACTGTTTTACACAAACTCCAAATCCTTTATTCCTCTCCCAATGCTTCAAGCTATATCTGCTTCATTCATTTCATAACCAAACTTCTTGTAAACATAGTTAATATTTGGTGTCTCGAATTCTTCTTCTTGAATTTACTTCTCAACCCACATGTATTCAGATTTCTGCTAGGCTTGTCACAAAAGAGTTATAAAAATCAGTAGTACACTTGCATCTCTCCCCTAACATTTCCTGCTTTCCAGAGGCAATCACTTTCTTCTAGCTGTTAAATTAGTTAACATGAAACCACCTGCTTTCCAGCTTCTAAAATTATATGGTTGTCTCCTTTCTTTCTCGCTTTGCATCTGTGGGTTCATGACTTTTAAAAATCCATACTGCTGTATTAGAGGAATTTGAGGAAGGAACAAAAGTAGATACTAAGGTTCAATCAGTGATGTCTCAGCTTCCTTTCTCATTTCATTCTACCTGTTCTTCTTGTGTGATCACATTCACTCCCTTGGCTTCAACTGCATCCTTTATGAATATGACTCAATAATATATATCTCCCATTGTGAATTTTTTTCTGAACATCAGGCCATCTATCTATGGTACTAGAATTCTCCGGGTAGGTGTCCTATAGGCATGTCAATACAACCTATTCAAAACCAAACTCATCTTTTCCCCTCCAAATTTGTTCTCCCTCCTTCCTTTCTACTCCTAGCTAATGATATCACTCAGTCATTTAAGCTAGGATATGTAGAGTCATGCTCATTGACTTCCCAAACAAGGAACTGGTGTGTTTCATGAAAGGCAGAGATAAAGTCTCATTCATTTCTGGGTCCCATAGCCATTAGCCCAGGCTCTCACATAATAATAATGTGTTGAATTGATGGGAACTTGCTATTGGAGGCTAAATATAGTGCAAGGATAAAGTTACCATACAGACAAAGAAATACATAACAATGTGTTTAGCTCATGTGTGGTTAAATTGCTTATTTCACAAAATTCTTACTTGACATGAAACCCAAGTTATGCATGATTTATTTATGATTAAAAGCATCTTTCTTGTTTCGTTTTTAAAATACTTGAGTGTGCATAGAAATAAAAGGAACTGTATAACCTCTGCCTCACTCTACATATCTTTGTAAGCAAAATTCTGGTTTAGAGATTCAAAACTTCTTGTGTCTTAATGAAGACCTCTAAAAGTTCTTTGTTAAAAGCAGCAGAAATGTTTAATTTAGAGGCTCTAGTCAACTATTAGCTAGCTGCAAATGCTTCCAATATGGCTTTCTATTACTTCTTTCAGGAGGCATTCCACAGTTCTATTTTCATAAATACAAAATAAGAACAATAGTAATTGCCTCTGGGACATATAGGGGAGAAGTAGACAATATATAAGAATAAAATGCTCCTTTTCCTTTTTCTTCTCCTTGTCTCTAAGCAGAAAAAAAAATGTACACATGAATATCCTAGTGACATTTCTTTGGATGTCACAGTGGTTAAAAGTTTTTCTTTGGGAGGCTGAGGTGGGCGGATCACAAAGTCAGGAGGTCGAGACCATCCTGGCTAACACAGTGAAACTCCGTCTGTACTAAAAATACAAAAAATTAGCCGGGTGTGGTGGCAGGTGCCTGTAGTCCCAGCTACTCAGGAGGCTGAGGCAGGAGAATGGCGTGAACCTGGGGGGCGGAGCTTGCAGTGAGCCGAGATCGCACCACTGCACTCCAGCCTGGGCGACAGAGCGACACTCCGTCTCAAAAAAAAAAAAAAAAAAAAAGTTTTCCTTATTCTCTTTCATAATTTTATGAGGAGAATATGCACTTATGGATATTCACTCACGGATCAATCCTTCCAGATGAGCCTGTTAATTTTGATTATGCACATTCAATTTGCATCAAGATTTATTTTTTAGATAAAATCTTGAGCAATTACAGTTTCCAGCTGAGAGCATTGTAAACTGGGCCCCTGCTATTTTCCATATCCTATGCCACAGACTTCACATATATTTTCTTACTTAACCCTTGCTGTAGCCCCCAGATGTAGAAATTAAGAATATTTGGCATTTTGTTTTACAAACCAGAGAAATGGATGTTTGAGAAGTTAAGAAACTTACCTATAACTGAAAACAGAGCAAATAAGTAGTAGACTTATTTGTATCCCAGTCGCTTGACTTTAAGTCCAATATTCTTCCCATTATAGAATAAAAACTCATTACTCAACAGCTACTCTTTTGTACTTATGTGCAGATAAAATCTTATATCACTTTAATCAGTAATGTTTTACTTAGTGCCCACTATGGTGGAATTAGTTCTATTGAGTTGAGTGCAAATATATTTGGTAGCAGTGGCAAGAAATAGAAATATAGGTTTCTCCATCTGTCAATGTGATTGGTGACAACTAGGGCCAGTCTTATGCAGAGGTTGAATAAGTAGAGTAGTGAATGTGCTGAGAGTTATTGAGTACAGATTATTATAACTGGAAGAAATCTACATAAACTGTTCAGTTTTTCAGAGAGGAAAACCACATTTCATAGAAACCAAGTGACCATTTCAAAGCCACGGTGTCAATGAGCAAGACAGACAGCACTAGAACTTATATCTTTATTTTAGGTTCCCTTGTTTTAAGAGGAAAAAATTATTCACCTCACTTGCTGATATGCCTGAAAATTGGAGGTTCACACTTTTGGATTTAGTCACTATCCACTAATATACTGATATTCTTAGAAGAGGTAGCTAACTCATTCTGTTGTGAGTTCTCAGCCTCTCTTTGGAGAGCCAGTTGTAGGCTGAGTAAGGTGGTGAATGAAAGACAAGGCAATTTTGAGTTGAGTGGGGAAGAGAGAAATCCAAGGCCCTGACTGCTGGGGAGGATGGTAATAAGAAAAGATTCTGGGTCATTATGGGGCAGTTTGAAGCTATAAGGCACTTGGGGAGCTATAGAGAAGAGACAGATAGCACAAAATGAGAGAGGGAATAGAAAATAGCAATGCATGGCCAATGAATATATGCTCAGCCAACTCCACAGTACTGGCTTTAGGCAATAGTGTCTTTTTATAACTTTGCTTGTTGTTATCTTCTACTAATATGGCCAAATTGGGATTTAGAGAAATGCTTTTGTGCATGTGAGGGTTTGTATTTTTTTTCATAAGTTGGGTCATAAATCCTGGATGTTATTTGACCCTGTGGTACTTGAAACCATTATCAGAATGTTTCCCTTCTTATTCATCTAAGCACACATACGGCCCTCACAGCCAATCAGCCCTGAAACTAATTGTGTCCCCAAGGTCAAACCAGAAAGCCCTGTTGATTGCTTTACCTAAATCCAGGGATACTTTATGAAGTAATTTGTTAATTACTCTAATTTGTTCCAAGGTAAAGTGATTAATCTGTTTAGTACAATGTGTTTTTGGTTAGTATCTACAATTCTGATAGCTTGTGATTTAATTTTGTGTTAGGCCTGAAGGACTGTCTTTTTTTCTGGATTTTACCTATCAAGGAGTAACTATCAGGAGACATCTTGCTTCATTTTGATGGGAGTGAAACTCACTTTTTACATTTATTTATTCTCTCTTCTGGTCTCTTGTAATTTATAAAGCTCCTTGCCCTTGAATTCCCAGTGCATTAGCTAACTCTTTAGGATCCTCAGGTTACAGTCATTGCCTTTTGTGTAGATTTGACATGTCTTATTTTTCTCTCTTCTTAGTGGTGAGAGTAAGAATTCATTTGATCTGTGACAGCTCTAGTACATTGATGTACTAAAACTGTTTCTGTTCTTTATTTGGAGTCAGCTCCATGCATTTTAAACTTCTTTGTTTTCTGATTATGTGCAGAGCAGCAGGATCCTGCATTAGGCTATACTGAGCATGTCAGAGCAGCAGTAGAAGTGAGTAAAACAGGAACCCTGTCCTTAAATAAATTACAGTCCAGTGAGACACAAGATCATGGACATGAATGAGTTGATACACAGAAGAATGTAATAAGCATGATTAGAGAGGTTTAGAAGTAGTGCTGTGGGAGCACAGGATAGGGAGAAATTATATTTATTTGAGAAATCAGAGAAAGCTTCATGGAAGCAGTAAGAATGTAAATTGAACCTTAAAGGATGGTTGGAATCCAATAAGCAAAAAGGAATAATGTAGAGAGGGTGTGTCTTATAGAGGAAACAGCATTGAATATAGGTATGGAAGTGAGAAAGTGCAAGACACACTCAGGAAAGAGTGAATACATTAGTTGAATGGTAGCATGGATCTGAATGGCAAGGATAAACACTTTGGACATTTTATCGGATGCAATGGGGAGCCACTGAAGAATTTTGAGCACTAGAATGACGTATTTCAAGACGTTCTTTAGAAAGATTGCTCTGGCAACAGTGCAAGGGAAGAACTTGACAGGGTTAAACTTCGAGGCAGAGCAACCAGTTAAGAGACTGTTCCAATAGTCCAAAAATATAATGAGAACCTAAGTGAGTCAGTAAATATTAGGAGGTGAGAAGGAGGTGTTTGCAAGAGATATTTGGGAAGACTTAGTTACTGACTGGATATAGGGAATTCTAGAAATCTTGGGTAATCAGTAAAGTGGTTCTGTCAATATACAAGCTAAAAAATTCAGTAGGATTCAGAAGACATACATTTGGTCAACAATCACATGAAAACAATCTCTACATCACTGATCATTAGAGAAATGCAAATCAAAATCATAATGGGATACCATCATATACCGGTAAGAATGGCTATTACTAAAAGGTCAAAAAATAACAGATGTTGGTGAGGTTGTGGTGAAAAGGGAATGCTTATGCACTCTTGGTGGGAGTGTACATTAGTTCAGCAATTGTGGAAGAAAGTGTGGTGATTCCTCAAGGACCTAAAGACAGAAACACCAAAAAATAAAAAAATAAAAAATAAAAAATAAAACGCAGAAAGGAGGCAGGACTAACTTACAGCTTCCAATTGGATGAACAGAACAGTGTGTGGAGACTCACATCATGAGTTTTTGCTTCAAGAGCCACTGCAGAAAGATATCAGGAAAACAAAGAATTCACAGACCTTTTGAATAAAGCAGCTTGCTGCTGCAATCTCCGTGAGATAGCTGAAAAACTGTGAGTGCCCAAAGTATGAGAGGAGGAAAGTCCACCTCCAAACACATATCATCACTGGGGAACATTAAAATCCAGATCACAAGAGAAAAAATTAACCTAACCTAGAGCTGAAATGAATTTAGAGAGCCAAGCAAAATATAAAAGTAGAAGAAGCAGCAGGAAGAGCCCTGGAGGCACTCCTGGTACCCAGGGAAGCCATTTCTAATTTTATATCACAGGGGTCCTTGGGGAGGGCAGCCAGTAGTATTGGGGAAGGGCCACAGGGAGAAAGAGACTTCCAGTTGAATTTTGTAATAATTTCAACGGAGCACCAGTTTTCCTAGGCAGAATCTGGGGGAGTAGTGGTGTGGTGAACAGGAAGTACAGATATGAGCACAGAGATCAAATGGCACTAGAATGGGGCCTGAAAGCCCTGCTTGCTTTCTCAGCTAGGAAGCTCGTAGCCAGGGACAAGATCTCAGCCTTGTGCACTTTAGGTCTGGATTTAAAGTTATCTGTGTTGGCTGTTGAGGGAGCACAGCGGGAGTGAGACTATCCATGCTGGCTGCATCAGAACTTGGTGAGGCCTGTCACTGCCAGCTTTTCCCCACTTTCCTGGTGACCTGTGCAAAGCAGCAGAGGCAGCCATAATTGCCCTTGGAACATAACTCTATTGGCCTGAGAACCACACCTCACCCCCAGCAGTGGCCACAGCAAGACCCACCCAAGGAGAGTCTGAGCTCAGGCAGACCTAACCCTGCCCCTACCTGATAGTTTTTCTCTAGCTGCTCTGGTAGCCAAAGACAAAAGACATAAACTCGTGGGAACTCTGTGGCCTCACCCATAGCCTGAGAAACCCAAATACTTATTCAGGCAAACTTAGAGCAAGCTTGTATCCCCCCTATACTACCACAGTTTATGCTCTCTTCAAAGTGCCACCTCCTGGCCGGAGGCCAATCAACTCAAGCCATTACTGCAATGCCTAACAGAACAATCCTGCTCCAAGTCAGGAGAAAACAACAGATAATTCCACTGCTTGTAACATCCTGGCTAAACAGAGGTCCTGAGTCTGTCCACATGACAACTTCACTGCTGGAATAACCAGCATTCAAGAAAACCTTCACAATAAACAAGACTACAACCAAGGACTCTCACAGAGTCTGTTTCACTCCCCTGCTACCTCCACCAAAGGAGGTGCTGGTACCCACAGCTGAGAGACCTGAAGACAAATCACATCACAGGATTATATGCACACACTCTGCAGAACAAGCCTGTAGCCCAGTAGCTCCAATGGTTGGCTAGACTTGGAAGAGCAATAACAAACACTGCAGTCCAGCTCTCAGGAGGCCCCATCCCCAGGGGAAGGGGGAGAGCACCACATCATGAATCTTTTGTCCCCATGGTCCAAAAGAATCTGAACAGCAGCTCTTGAGTTCTAGATTTTTCCTGTGACCTTGTCTACCAAAAAGAGAATAGACCAGAAAAACAAGTTTCTATAACATCCCCAAAAGATCACACTAGCTAACCAGACATGGATCTAAACCAAGAGGAAATCTATGAGTTGTTAGAAAAAGAATTCAGAACATTGACTATTAAGCTACTCAAGGAGGCAAAATAGATAGGTGAAAACCAACTTAAATTTAAAAAAATACAGGATATAGATGAAAAATCTCCAAAGAATTCAATATCATAAATAAAAATGACAACTTCTAGAAATGAAAGATGCACCTAGGGAAATGCAAAATACACTGAAAAGTTTCAACAATATAATCAAACAAGGAGAACTTCAGAGCTCGAAGACAAAGCTTTCTAATTAATCCAATCTGACAAAGACAAATAAAAAAATGATTAAAAAGCTGCCAAGAAGTTTGGGATTATGTTAAATAATCAAACCTAAGAATAATTGGTGTTCCTGAGGCAGAAGAGAAATCTAAAAGTTTGGAAAACTTATTTGAGGAAAAAATCAAGAAAAACTTCCCTAGCCTTGCTAGAGATCTAGGCATCCAAATAAAAGAAGCTCAAAGAACACCCCAGAAATTCATTGTAAAAGATCATCACCTAGACATATAGTCATTAGGTTATCTAAAATGAAAATGAAGGAAAGAATCCTAAGAGCTGTGTTGCAAAAGCATCAGGTAACCTACGTAGGAAAACTTATCAGATCAACAGAAGATGTCTCAGCAGAAACCGTACAAGCTAAAAGGGATTGCGGTTTTATTTTTTGCCTCTTTAAACAGAATAATTATTAGCCAAGAATTTTGTATCCAGTGAAAGTAAACATAATAAATCATAAACAAAGGAAAAGTAGTCTTTTTCAGACAAACAAATGCTGAGAGAATTTGTCACTACAAAGCCAGCACTCCAGAAACCATGGAAAGGAGTTATAAATCTTCAAACAAACCCTTGAAACACACCAAAATAGAACCTCCTTAAAGCATAACTCTCATGGGGCCTGTAAAGCCATAACATAATGAAAACAAAACAAGATATTCAGGCAACAACTAGCATGATGAATAGAATAGTACCTCACATCTCAATACTAACATTGAATACAAATGGCCTAAATGCTCCACTTAAAAGATACACAATGGCAGAATAGATAAGAATTCACTAAGTATCTGCTGTCTTCAAGAGAGTCATTTATCACATAAGGACTCAGACAAACTTAAGGTAAAGAGGTGTAAAAAGATACTCCATGCAAGTGGAATAGCTATTCTTATATCAGACAAAACAGACTTTAAAGCAGCAACAGTTAAGTAAGACAAAGAAGGACATTATATAATGATAAAAGGACTAGTCTCAGAGGAAAATATCACAATCCTAAATATATATGTACCTAACAATGACGCTCCCAAATTTTTATAAAACATTTACTACTAGACCTCAGAAATGAGAAAAATGGCAAGATAATTACAGTGGAGGACTTTAATACTCCACTAACAGCATTAGACAAGTCATCAAGACAGAAAGTAAACAAACAAACAATAGACTTAAACTATACCCTAGAACAAATGGACTTAACAGATATTTACAGAACATCCTATCCAATAACTGCAAAATATACATTCTATTCATCAGCATATGAAACATTCTCCAAGACAGACCATATAGTAAGCCACAAAACAAGTCTCAATAAATTTAAGAAAATCAAAATTATATCATGTACTCTCTCAGACCACAGTGGAAATCAACTCCAAAAGGAACTCTCAAAACCATGCAAATAAATAGAAATGAAATAATCTGTTCCTGAATGATCTTTGGGTCAACATGAAATCAAGATGGAAATGAAAAAATTATTTGAACTGAATGACAGTAGTGACACCACCTATCAAAACCTCTAGGATAAAAGAAAAGTGGTGGTAAGAGGAAAGACTATAGCATTAAATGCCGACATCAAAAAGTCTGAAAGAGCAAAAATAGACAATCTAAGGTCACACCTCAAGGAACTAGAGAAAAAAGAACAAACAAGCCCGAACACAGCAGAAGAAAAGAAAGAACAAAATAGAGCAGAACTAAATGAAATTGAAACAAAAAAATACAAAAAATAAATACAACAAAAACTTAGTTATTTGAAAAGATAAACAAAATTGATAGACCATTAGTGAGAGTAATGAAGAAAATAACAGAAAAGATCCAAGTAAGCTCAATTAGAAATGAAACAGGAGGTATTAGAACCACATAAATATAAAAAAAATCATTCAAGGCTACTATCAATACCTTTACACACACAAACTAGAAAACCTAGAGGATATTAATACATTCCTGGAAATATACAACCCTTCTAAATTAAACCAGGAAGAAATAGAAACTCTTAACAGACCAGTAACAAGCAGTGAGATTGAAATGGTAACTAAAAAATTGCCAATGAAAAAACTCCAGGACCAGATGAATTCTATTAGACATTCAAAGAATTGGTACCCAACCTGTTAGAACTATTCCATAAAATAGAGAAAGAGGGAATCCTCTCTAAATAATTCTATGAAACCAGTATCACCCTAATACCAAAATCAGGAAAGGACATAACAAAAAGAGAAAACTAGAGACAAATATCCCTAATGAACATAGATGCAAAAATCCTCAACAAAACACTAGCTAACCAAATCAACAGCATGTCAAAAAAGATAATCCACCATGATCAAGTGGGTTTATACCAGGGATGAAGGAATCATTTGAAAACACAAGTCAATAAATGTGATACACCACATAAACATAATTAAGAACAGAAACAGTATGGCCATCGTAATAGATGCAGAAAAAGCATTAGACAAAACCAGCATCTCTTTATGATTAAAACCCTCATCAAGCTACCAATGACTTTCTTCATGGAATTGGAAAAAGCTACTTTAAAGTTCATATGGAACCAAAAAAGAGCCCACATTGCCAAGACAATCCTAAGCCAAAAGAACAAAGCTGGAGGCATCACGCTACCTGACTTCAAACTGTACTACAAGGCTACAGTAACCAAAACAGCATGGTACTGGTACCAAAACAGAGATATAGATCAATGGAACAGAACAGAGCCCTCAGAAATAATGCTGCATATCTACAACTATCTGATCTTTGACAAACCTGACAAAAACAAGCAATGGGGAAAGGATTCCCTATTTAATAAATGGTGCTGGGAAAACTGGCTAGCCATATGTAGAAAGCTGAAAATGGATCCCTTCCTTACACCTTATAAAAAAATTAATTCAAGATGGATTAAAGACTTAAATGTTAGACCTAAAACCAGAAAAACCCTAGAAGAATACCTAGGCACTACCATTCAGGACATAGGAATGGGCAAGGACTTCATGTCTAAAACACCAAAAGCAATGGCAACAAAAGCCAACATTGACAAATGGGATCTAATGAAACTAAAGAGCTTCTGCACAGCAAAAGAAACTACCATCAGAGTGAACAGGCAACCTACAAAATGGGAGAAAATTTTCGCAACCTACTCATCTGACAAAGAAAGGGCTAATATCCAGAATCTACAATGAACTCAAACAAATTTACAAGAACAAAACAAACAACCACATCAAAAAGTGGGCGAAAGATATGAAGAGACACTTCTCAAAAGAAGACATTTATGCAGCCAAAAAACACATGAAAAAATGCTCACCATCACTGGCCATCAGAGAAATGCAAATCAAAACCACAATAAGATACCATCTCACACCAGTTAGAATGGCAATCATTAAAAAGTCAGGAAACAACAGGTGCTGGAGAGGATGTGGAGAAACAGGAACACTTTTACACTGTTGGTGGGACTGTAAACTAGTTCAACCCTTGTGGAAGTCAGTGTGGGGATTCCTCAGGGATCTAGAACTAGAAATACCATTTGACCCAGCCATCCCATTACTGGGTATATACCCAAAGGACTATAAATCATGCTGCCATAAAGACATATGCACACATATGTTTATTGCGGCACTATTCACAATAGCAAAGACTTAGAACCAACCCAAATGTCCAACAATGATAGACTGGATTAAGAAAATGTGGCACATATACACAATGGAATACTATGCAGCCATAAAAAATGATGAGTTCATGTCCTTTGTAGGGACATGGATGAAATTGGAAATCATCATTCTCAGTAAACTATCACAAGAAAAAAAAACCAAACACTGCATATTCTCACTCATAGGTGGGAATTGAACAATGAGAACACATGGACACAGGAAGGGAAACATCACACTCTGCGGACTGTTGTGGGGTGGGAGGAGGGGGGAGGGATAGCTTTAGGAGATATACCCAATGCTAAATGACCAGTTAATGGGTGCAGCACACCAGCATGGCACATGTATAAATATGTAACTAACCTGCACATTGTGCACACGTACCCTAAAACTTAAAGTATAATAATAATAATAAATTAAAAAAAGAAAAAAAATTCATATGCAACCAAAAAAGATCCCGCATCCCAAAGCAAGACTAAGCAAATGAACAAATCTGGAAGCATCATGTTACCGGACTTTATACTACATTATAAAGCTAGTGTCACCAAAACAGCATGGTACTGATATAAAAAATAGGCACATAGATCAATGGAACAGAATAGAGGGCCCAGAAATAGAGCCAAATTTTAATAGCCAACTGATCTTTGACAAAGCAAACAAAAACATAAAGTGGGTAAAAAACACTCTATTCAACAAATGGTGCTGGGATAATTAGCAAGCCACATGTAGAATAAAACTAGATCCTCATCTCTTGTCTTATGTAAAAATTAACTTAGGATGGATCAAAGACTTAAATCTAAGACTCAAAATAATAAAAATTCTACATGATAACATCAGAAAAACTCTTCTAGACATTGGCTTAGGCAAAGACTTCATGACCAAGAACCCAAAAGCAAATGCAACAAAAGCAAAGATAAATAGGTAGGACTTAATTGAACTAAAAAGCTTCTGCACAGCAAAATGCTACATACCACACGCAGATTGAGAGAAAATTTTTGCGTACTATGCCTCTGACAAAGGACTAATATCCAGAATCTATAAGGAACTCAAATCAGCAAGAAAAAACAACCCATCAAAAAGTGGGCTAAGGACATGAATAGACAATTCTCAAAAGAAGATATACAAATGGCCAGCAAACATAAAAAAATGCTCAACATCAATAATGATCAGGGAAATGTAAATGGAAACCACAATGTGATACCACTTTACTCCTGCAAGAATTGCCATTTTTTAAAAATAAAACAAAAATACATGTTGGCATGGATGTGGCAAAAAAGGAACACTTTTGCACTGCTAGTGGGAATGTAAACTAGTACAACCACTATGGAAAACTGTATGGAGATTCCTTAAATAATGACAAGTAGATCTACCATTTGATCCAGCAATCCCACTACCAGGTATCTACCTAGAGAAAAAAGAAGTTATTATATGAAAAATAACTTGCACATGCATGTTTGTAGAAGCACAATTCGTGATTGCAAACATATGGAACCAGTTCAAATGCCCATCAATCAACAAGTGGATAAAGAATATGTGTATATATATATATATATTTATATATGAATACTACTCAGCCATAAACAAGAATAAATCAATGGCATTTGCAGCAACCTGGATGGAGTTGGAGACCATTATTCTTAGTGAAGTAACTCAGGAATGGAAAACCAAACATGGTATGTTCTCACTTATAATAGTGAGCTAAGCTATGAGGACACAAAGGCATAAGAATGCTACAGTGGACTTTGGGGACTAAGGGGGAATGGTGGGAGGCGGGTGAGGGATAAAAGACTACACACTGGAAACAGTGTACACTACTCAGGTGATGGGTGCACCAAACTCTCAGAAAGCACCACTGAAGAACTTACTCATGTAACCAAATACCACATGCTCCCCCAAAACTACTGAAATTTTAAAAAAGATAAGTAAAAAGACAAAAATACAATTTGAATCAGCAATCCCATTACTGGGTATATAACCAAAGGAATATAAATCATTATATTTTAAAGTTACATGCACGTGTATATTTATTGCAACACTATTAATAACAGGAAAGACATGGAATCAACCTAAATGTCCATTGATGATAGACTGGATAAAGAAAATGTGGTATATATACACCATGGAATACTATGCAGCCATAAAAAAGAAGGAGATTCATTAAATATTTTTATCGATCCTCTCCCTTCTCTAGGCTTAATACCTGGGAGATAAAATAATCTGTACAAAAAAACCCCAAGACATAAATTTACTTATGTAAAAAAAAAAAACCTGCACTTGTACCCCTGAACTTAAAATATGTTTTTTTTTTTTTTTTTAACAAAGTCATGTTCTTTGCAGGAACCAGTGTGGACTTGGAGGCCTTAGCAAACTATCACAGGAACAGAAAACCAAATACCGCATGTTCTCACTTATAACTGGGAGCTAAATCATGAGAGCACAAGGACACCCAGAGAACAACATACACTGGGGCCTTCTGGAGCGGGGAGAGCATCAGGAAAAATAACTAATGTACTAGGCTAAACACCTGGATGATGAAATAATCTGTACAACGAATCCCTAGGATGCAAGTTTACCTATGTAACAAACCTGCACATGGACCCCTGACTTAAAAGTTAAAAAAAATGAGTGATTAAAAACATTAAAAAATGAAATGTACTTAGTTGAAATGTCTCCTCTCTTTTACTTATTGGGTGCAGCAATATGATGTTATCTTCTGAAGATCACTTAACAGCAGTGCTAAGATAGGAACTGAGCTCCTCTGAGGACAAATCTGGTGTTCTTTCCATGCTATCATATTGTGTCAATGTTTAAAAAGTAATAGGATTGGGGAAGAATACCATCAAACACCATCAACCAAGGGATTGATAGAAATTGAAACACCTTAGTCCTCATCGAGTCTAAACATTTCATTTTATAAAGGGTACTTTGAGGCCCAGAGAGGGATAGCCAGAGTATAATGGGTCCTGTTAGGTATATAGTAACCACCCAGTGGAAGTCATTGTGACCCCTTGTGAGAACAAGTACTGTGGTATTCTTGTGTTGTAACTACCAGTAAATAGTTATATTATAGGAGAGATGAGTTGATCATATTTAATGTTCCATTTTTTATTGAAATGGCTATATTAGAAAACTGTTTTTTAGGTAGAGGGAAGAATAATGTTTTCTCCTAGTTGATTCTTTTCCTAAAAATGAGAGCTTCGTATAAAAGTAGAACACATGCCTAATAAGTATTCAACATTAAAAAGACAAGATTTCTCCTTTTTCCTTCTTGTCTTGAATTCTTTTCTTGCTATTTGAATTCTGCTTTACTTGCTACTTCTTCTCTCATTTGTTTTTTCCATCCTTCCTTTGCCAACCTCTCAGAATCCCTCACCCTAGGTCCTTGTGATAAAACTGCAGCTATGTTTTAGGTACACACACGTGTGGTGCAGGGAGGAGGTACAAGATTGATCCTTGGATTTGTAGCTATTCTCCCAAATGCATAATTCCTTGGCTTATAAAGTCTAATGACATTGGGCACTCCATTTCGTCTGTGTTTCTTTCTAACTAACTTGGAAAAATTATCTGTACATGAGTGGAGCAGATTGAAAATGATTTAGACCTCAGTGGAGAACCAGAAATGTTGACTGAATCATTGATGCATATTTAGAAGCTAAGAGTAAAATTACTGTAACAGATGAAGGGTAAAAGTGGCCAGAAAACACAAAGAGAATACTGTCCAAAAAGATCAATAATGATTCAGGGCTTCCAAAGTCTACTACCTTTCAAATATAGAGTAAGTTAAAATGTAAAAGAGCATGAAGGCTACAAATGACTTCTGTTAAATATTAGTATACTGTATAAAATGATGGCACTACATGAACAAATAATATGAAAATACATGGAACTTATGTGCAAAATTTCAGGCTATTTAAACAATAAACGATGAAATCAATAAATAATTACTAATTTTCTACTATGTGCAAAACTTATGCTAAATGAAGAACACAAAGATTAATAAAATAAGAGCTCTTGTCTTAGAACCTTACAAATTAATGGAGGGGAGGGGGAGACAGGACAACTGAATAAAATCTCAAAAGCAACATTTAGAGGGCTGTTTCAGAAAATATCAAAAGAGATATGATAAGGCAGTTAATATAAAAGCTAAATAAAACATACAGATGTCAGCTTAGTGGTTGCAAGAATGCAGACTGGGGTGATCAATGAAAGATCTATGAAAGAGGTGAAATTTGAATTTGGCATTTAACAAACAATTTATATTTTGAGGGTACACACACATGCATGTTCACACGTACACATGTATACACACATAGACACAAAGATGCATGCTATTATATAGCTGCCCAATAGACCATTCATAAATAATTTACTGCCAGTTCCTTAAAATACATGCGAGCATAATTAAGGTTATTTTGACTTAACCTATTGTAATAGAACAAATTGACATTTATTTTTCAATTTATACCAGTGAACATTTCAAATATGTTACAATAAATTCAGATATTTGCATTATGTAAACAATGTTAAGTGAAAATAATTAGATTATTTTTGCAACAAGATGCAATGCTAATTAATGGAGTTTTCACGGGGCCTCATCCACTTTTTGGATTGGGGAAGCAGCTCCTTTACTTAACCCTGTCAGTCTCCTAGAGTTACCTTCCATAGCTCTTTCTGTCTCCTGACACACTGCATTTCATCTTTATTTCCTGTGGCTTTATAGAATTCGTGAACTCAAAGGCCATCAATTATCTCCTAATCAACAGCCCTAATGGTCAAACCTAAGCAAATCAGGAACCTTCTTCAGCGTTTAACAAACACAGCTGGTTGACCTCCCTTTCTTGAAAGTATTTGGTTGATTTGGGGTCAATAGTGTGTACCTCAATCTTTCCAATGACTCCTTCATCTTTTTCTTCCTCACACTTAAATATAGGTAATTCACCAAACTAATTCTTCACCCCCTGTGCTTTCTCTTGTGAAGGCTCAAGGCTTTAATTATTCCCCATAGAAATAACTCTGGAATCTTCTATCTACAGTTCAAACCTCTTAATTGAACTCCAATACAGTTTCTCAAACCATCTCCAGAAAATTTTCATTCTGAGGTCCTGTTGTCACCTAAATCTTAACATGTCTAAAAAGCTGGTGGTTTTGTGCTGGTGAAAAATGGGATACTCCATTTTTATATCTTGATAGATGGTAAACTACCTCTCCCAGTTCTTCCCTTCCCTCTTTCTGAATCTCCTTCTACCAGTCTCTTTTGAAGTTAGGATTTATACAATTTAATATGTATCTAGTGTATCTTATGAAAAAATCATATTACACACATATACACACACACACACAAACACACACGTGTGCTATAACCTTCATACATTGACCAAATCTTAGCTCTTTATTATCCCTCAGATTGGTTCTCTCTTGAAACTTTCTTGTTTTCATCAGTGACATCTTATTCTTCCAGTTTTCTTGCACATTTTCTTACTCGCATTTCCTTCTCCCTATCACTTTCACTACCCCAGTCAAGGCTGAGCCCTCATCAACTCATGCTTGAACTGCTACAATGTCTCCTAACTAATCACTTTGCTTCCAACCACTGCATTCTCTACACTGTTGCCATAGCAATCTTTCTAATGTGAAAATATAATCACTGTACTTCCAGGCTTAAAACGCTGAAACTTTCATTGATTCTCCCTCCTCCTAGTGCTCAGATCCATAATTTCTTTTCTATCTCCAGTGTTCTCTCCTGCCTCAGACAGCTTGTGGAAGAAGGCAGGATTTACATAATTGATACATTTGTTTGATTTAGACCCTCATTTTTTTCTCACTAGCAAAACTGATTTCTTCATCCCCCAAACATTCTTCCTTCCTTCCTTCCTTCCTTCCTTCCTTCCTTCCTTCCTTCCTTCCTTCCTTCCTTCCTCCCTCCCTCCCTCCCTCTCTTTTCTTTCTTCTTTTTTTTTTTTTGAAATGGAGTTTCACCCAGGCTAGAGTGCAGTGGTGCCATCTCGGCTCACTGAAAACTCCACCTCCTGGGTTCAGGTGATTCTCCTGCCTCAACCTCCCGAGTAGCTGGGATTACAGGCACCCACCACCACGCCTGGCTAATTTTTGTATTTTTAGTAGAGATAGGGTTTCACCATGTTGGCCAGGCTGGTCTCGAACTCCTGGCTTCAGGTGATCCACACACCTTGGCCTCACAACGTGCTGGGATTACAAGGCGTGAGCCACCGTGCCTGGCCCATTGTTGTGCATTTCTACTCCCACAGCTTTGCTTATCTTAATGCCCAAACCAAATGTTTTTTCCTCTACTCTCTATTTCTTCAAACCTTACTTTGGCTTCAAGGCTCATTTAATGCCTCTTCTCCTCTATGAAGCCTTTCTGTGTAGTAGCCAATTCACATGGTTTTCGTACTTTGCCAAACTCCTATGACAACCAGTAGGATTTAGATGGTTAAAATCCTCAGTGAAGGGCAGGGATGTCATTGTAAGTGAGTATCATTAGGGAGGCTGAAATGTGCAAGGCATTTTAACAGAGAAACAAGTAAGCTTTTCCAACTTGAGTGACAGATTCATGGAGGACAGTGCTGCATGAGAAGCTTAGAATGATGGGTTCAAGCCATTTTGCAGTACCTTTAAAAATAAAGCCAAGGAGTTTGTTTATGTGAATATATCACAGACAGACTTGTTTACGTTAGTATTATTTTAATGTATTGGGTATTTTATTGAAGACGAAATTATTTGAAAGTTATTAATTAATGGATGCTATAGATTTCCTCTTTCAAATAATGAGAAGATTTGTTAATTCAGATCAGAAGAAATGTTGATCAGGGAAAAAGGAATTTGTGCATTAAGATAGGGAAAGATGTAGAGGCAGATATGCACAAGGGTGTTTGAGGGAACTGAAGGGCTTTGATTGAAGGAGAGTTGATTATATTTACCTTTATTCATTATTATGGTTATACTTATATGAACTTTTTGCATTTAATGTTATCTTCAGTGTCACAAGTTTACAGATGATAATACATGAAGAATAAGGAAATAAGATTAAGTGCTATAATATATCTAATCAGGTGAAGGATGAAATAACAAAACCTCAAAGGTAGAACCTTTTATTGAAATGTAGTCCTTTTTATTAAATAAATATTTTACATTTTCCTTTAATTGTTTAATCATTTTGGTAGATATAACAATATATAATACACAGGTGCCCTATGTATCAAAGCTAAATTATGGATGAGATTATGTCATAACTTGGCTCTTCCAATATTTCTGGCTGTAGTTCCTTGACATGGCAGGGGTCAGGTTGGAAGACTCTTTAAAAAATATTATATTATGAGGTACTATCTTTAGGTAGAAACCAATACGAAAGAGTATGGGAACCCAAATAAAGATAGACATTTGCTTAAGTGTTGGCCATAGGACTGACAAAATTAAGTGGGAAGTATGATTTGAGATATGGGATAAATGGTTTTATAGAAGTACTTGCATTAAATTGTCAATTAATGGAGTAGCAATAATTCTGGCATAACTAAAGTTTCTTGACAAGTCACTGTATGATTTGGGCTGTCATGTTTAGTCTCAGGGGTTCAGTTTTTCAAGCCGTAAAACGTAGGGTAAAGATGGTGGAAATGAGGAAAGGTTGCATTTGGGAGATCTCTTTAAGACTCTAGCCAATTTCGACATTCTGTGGTTCCAGGATTTAGTTTCAAACATATTTCCAGGGAGAGCTCTGGACCCGATACATGTTCAATCTTATGTATATCTGCATTATTCGTCCAGCTTATTTAGCATCAGCAATATTTATTGGGAACTCTATGCAAGTGTATTAGATATATCTACAGCATTTAACTGTTCACACTCTAAAGGAAATATAAACTTCTCACCCTTGCTATCCCAGCAAGGGTAGTAGCCATGTTTTATATTCTTTGACCCCATCGCCCTGCCCATAACTGGACCATACATGGGTACCTAAGCAAGGGAATTCTATTCCTAGGTTTGGCATCAATTTGTGTCCCATGAATCCCAGCATACAAAAGATGAGCTAATCCAAAGAAACTCTGCTCTGAAGCAGTTAGTGGCAGGAACAGAAGCCAAGAAATGCTTTGAGAATTGCCATAATAATGATGACAAATGCTCATGTCGCACTTTCTGTATCTACTAGGTAAAGTCTTATCTCATTTAATCCTCACAACAGTCTACGAGGTAGATTCTATTATTATCATCACTAATTTAAGGAGGAGACAATCCTCAAATGAGGAGATAAAAATCACATAAGTCTCCTCAAATGAGGAGATGAAATAACAGAAAACTAAGTAATTTACTCAGGGCCACACAGATAGTGAATGGCAGAGCTGAGATTGAAACCCATGCAGTCTGGCTCTAGAGTCGGTGCTCTTAATTGCTATAACACACGGGCATGGCTTTGAACTATACTAAGCTAAAGGGCAACATTCAAGCTGACATTTTGAGAGAGCAGTAATAATATAGAGTAGGAGAAGAGGAAAATGATTCACAGAGAGAGAACTGTGGAAACCCATAGATGAAGGAAGATGTCAAAAAAGAAAATACTATAAAACTCAAGAGAAGAGGTGGGAGAAAGATAGGAGAGAGAGAGAGTGAGAGCAAGTGAGTGAGAGAGAACTACACCTACACCTTGGCACTTGATAATAATAATAGTTAAGATTTATAAAACACTCATTATGTGCCAGCCACTTTTCTTAGCTGTTTACATATATTAATTTACTTGGGCTTCACACACTTACTATGATGTAAGTATAATTATTATTCTTATTTGATGGATGAGTACATTGAAGCACCAATTTGTTAGTGACTTGCATAAGGTCACACAGCTAGTAAGTAGCAAAACCAGGATTTGAACACAGGTGGTCTAACTCCAGAGTTAGCACTTGTAACTTCTTTACTCCTATCCAAGCTCCAGTTCCTGCCAACTGGATATAAATACTTTGTGCCCTTCACTTTCTTTGGGATTCCTGTATATCTTCAACCCACCCACTGTCCCCTTTTAACTGAGCTAGATTTATTGGGTCTTTCTCCTTGCAAACAAAAGAGACCTAACTGAAACAGTAAGTTGCCATACCAGATACCATAAAGGAGAAATAAATGTGATTAATAGGATCCCTGCCTTCAAAGAGTTGCCAACCTAATTGGAAAGGTATGTCGTACGATAAAAAAATCATTAATAATAACAGAGAGTATGTACCCAGTGCCTATTGATGAAACAATGAGGGAAAGTTTAATAAAGAGTGAAAACTGAGTTTGGAACACCAACCCCTAAAGCTCTGCAAATTACAGAAGGTTCATGTATGTTTCCTCTACACTTGACTATCTGAAGCTGAGAAAGTTTTGACAGAATTGAAACACAGATTTCTAGGTTCAATTTCATTATTAAAAAGTCCAATGCTGTAGAAACTCTCCTTTCCCACTGAGGTGGGCTTGGGAACCATCTGCATGGAATGTTCAAGGAGTTTTTTGGCTTTTTTTCTGCTATAACTCATTTAATTTTTAATTTTTGTGGGTATATAGTAAATGGAGTACATATTAAGTGTATATATTTTTGGGGTACATGAAATGTTTTCATATAGGCATTCAATGTGAAATAAGCAGGTCAGGAAGAATAGAGTACACATCCCCTCAAGCATTTATTTTTGGGATTAGAAAAAATCCAATTACATTGGTATCAGTTATTTTTTAAATGTACAATTAAGTTATTATTGACTATAGTCACCCAGATTTGCTATCAAATGGTAGGTTTTATTCATCATTTTCCACCAGTTTTTGTCCCCATTAACCATCCTCACCTCCCCACGTCCCCCACCACTACCCTTACCAACCTCTGGTAACCATCCTTCTACTCTCTGTATCCATCATTCAAGTGTTTTGAATTTTAAATCCCACAAATATGTTAAAATATGTGTTATTTCTTTTTCTCTGCCTGGCTAATTTCTCTTAACATAATTGTATCCAGTTCCATCCATGTTGTTGCAAATGACAGGATCTCATTTATTTTTATGGCTGAATAGTACTCCATTGTGTATATGTACCATATTGTATACGTCCATTCTCATGTTGCTAATAAAAACATACCCGAGACTGGGTAATTTATAAAGGAAAGGGGTTTAATTGACTCACAGTTGGGCATGGCTGGGGAGACCTCAGGAAAATTACAATCATGGCAGAAGGGGAGGAAAACATGTACTTCTTCACATGGTGGCAGGAAGGAGAAGAATGAGAGCCCAGCAAAGGGGGAGACCCCTTATACAACCATCAGTTCTTGTGAGAACTTACTATCATGAGAATAGCATGGAGAAAACCACCCCCATGATTCAATTACCTCCCACGGGGTCATTCTCACCACACATGGGGGTTATGGGAACGCAATTCAAGATGAGATTTGGGTGGGGACACAGCCAAACCATATCACACGTTTTCTTTATACATTCATCTGTTGATGGATACTTTGGTTGCTTCAGCATCTTGGCTATTATGAACAGTGCTGCAGCAAATACAGGAGTGCAGATATATTTTTTATTTACTGATTTCCTTTCATTTGGGGATATACCTAGCAGTGGGATTTCTGGATAATGTGGTAGCTCCATTTTCAGTTTTTTGAGGAGCCCCCAAATTGTTATCCATAGTGGTTTTAACTAATTTACATCTCCAGCAACAGTATATGAGTGTTTCCTTTTCTCCACATCCTCACCAGCATTTGTTATTGCCTGTTGTTTGGGTCTAAGCCATTTTAACTGCAGTGAGATGATATCTCATTGTAGTTTTGATTTAAATTTCTTTGATGATCAATGATGTTGAGCACATTTTCACATGCCTGTTTGCCATTTGTATGTCTTCTTTTGAGAAATGTCTATTCAAATATTTTGCCCGTCTTTTGATCAGATTATTAGATTTTTTTTCCTATAGAGTTGTTTGAGCTTCTTATATATTCTGAGTATTAATCCCTTGTCAGATGGATAGTTTGCAAATATTTTCTCTCATTCTGTGGGTTGTTTCTTCACATTATTTATTGTTTCCTTTGCTGTGAAGAAGCTTTTAAACTTGATGTGATTCCATTTGTCCATTTTTGCTTTGGTTGCCTGTGCTTGTGTTCAAGACATTTTTTCCCAGACCAATGTCCTGAGGGATTTTTCCAATGTTTTCTTGTAGTAGATTCATAGTTGGAGGTATTATATTTAAGTCTTTAGTCGATTTTGATTTGATTTTGTACATGGCTAGGGATGGGGTCTAGTTTTATTCTTTTGCCTATGGATATCCAGTATTTCCAGCACCATATATTGAAGTGGCTGCCTTTTCCCCAGTATATTTTTTAGCACCTTTGTCGAAACTGAGTTCACTGTAGGTGTGTGGATTTCTTTCTGGGTTTTTCATTCTGTTCCACTGGTTTATGTTTCTGTCTTGATGCCGGTATCATGCTGCTTGGTTACTTTAGCTCTGGAGGCTATTTTGAAGTCAGGAAATGTGATTCTTCCAATTGTGTTCTTTTTGCTTAGGATAGCTTTGGCTATTCTGGGTCTCTTGTGGGCCCATATGAATGTTAGGATTTTTTTTCTATTTCTGTGAAGAATATTATTGGTATTTTGATAGGCATTTCATTATATCTGCAGATTGCTTTGGGTAGTATGAACATTTCGATAATATTGATTCTTCCAATCCATGAACATTGGCTATTGTTCTTTTGTTTGGTGTCCTTTCCAATTTCTTTCATCACTATTTTATAGTTTTCATTATAGAGATATTTCATTTCTTTGGTTAATTCCTAGATAATTAATTTTATTTGTGGTTATTTTAAATGTGATTACTTTCTTGATTTCTTTTTCACATTGTCTACTGTTAGCATATACAAATGCTACTGATTTTGCTTATTGATTTTGTATACTGCAACTTTACTCAATTTGTCAGTTCTAATAGTTTTTTCATGTGGAATCTTTAGTTTTTTTCTAAATATAAGATCATAGCATCTGCAAACAGAATCATTTGACTTTTCTCTTTCTAATTTGAAAGCTTTTTATCTTTCTCTTGTCTGGTTGCTCTAGCTAGGACTTCCAGTACTGTATTGAATAACAGTGATGATAGTGGACATCTTGGTTGTGTTTCAGATGTTAGAGGAAAGACTTTCAGTTTTTCCCCATTCAGTATGATACTCACTGTGGGTCTGTCGTATATGGCTTTTATTATGTTGAGGTATGTTCCTTATATTCCCAGTTGTTTGAGGGGTTTTATCATGAAGGGATGTTAAATTTTATCAAATGCTTTTTCACCATCCATTGAAATGTTTTATTCTTCATTCATATGTGATGTGTCCCCCTGATTGATTTGCATATGTTGAACCATTTTTTCATACCAGAGATAATTCTCACTTGGTCATGATAAATAACTTTCAAATGTATTGTTGAATTCTGTTGACTGGTAGTTTGCTGAGGGTTTTTGCATCGATATTCATCAGAGATATTGGCCTGTAGTGTTTTTTGTTTGTATTTTTTTTTATGTGTCCTTGTTTTTGGTGTGAGGGTAACACTGGCCTCGTAGAATGAGTTTGGAAGTATTTCCTCCCGTGTTTTTCAGAATAGTTTGAGTAGGATCGATATTAGTTGTTTAAATGTATGGTAGAATTAAGCAGTGAAGCCATTGGGTCCTGGAGTTTTCTTTACTGGGAGCCTTTTGATGATGGCTTTGATCTTGTTATGTTATTGGTCTGTTTGGGTTTCGGATTTCTTTCTGGCTCTATCTTGGTAGGTTGTATGTGTCTAGGAATTTGTCCATTTCTTTTAGATTTTCCAATTTATTGACATATAGTTGCTCATAGTAGCCACTAAAGATCCTTTGAATTTCTGCAGTATCAGTTGTAATGCCTCCTTTTTCATTTCTAATTTTATTTATCTGGATCATCTCTCTTTTTTTCTTAGTCTGGCTAAAGGTTTGTCAATTTTGTTTAACTTTTCAAGAAACTCAACTTTTTGCTTCATTGATCTTTTGTATTTTTTTTTTTTTGCATTTCAGTTTTATTTGTTTCTGATCTGAACTTCATTATTTATTTTCTTCTATTAATTCTGGGTTTGGTTTGCCCTTGCTTTTCTAGTTCCTTAAGATGAATTGTTAAATTACTTATTTGAAGTTTTTTTTTTTCTTTTTTGATGTAGGCACTTATAGCTATAAGCTTCCCTGTTAGTACTGCTTTTGTTGTATCCCATAGGTTTTGGTATGTTGTGTTTTTATTATTATTTGTTTCAATAAATTTCTCAATTTTCTTCTTAATTACTTAATTGATCCTCTAGTCATTTGGGAACATATTGTTTAATTTCCATGTGTTTGTATAGTTTCCAAGATTCATCTTTTTATTGATATCTAGTTTTATTCCATGTGGTCAAAGAAGATGCTTGATATTATTTCAATTTTTTGAATATTCTAAGACTTGTTATGTGGCCTAACATATAGTCTCTGCTTGAGAATCATCTATGTGCTGATGAAAAGGATGTGTATTCTGCAGCCATTGGATGAAATGTTCTGGTAATATCTATTAGATCCATTTGGTCTATAGTGCAGTTCAAGTCTGATGTTTCTTTCTTGATTTACCGTTTGGAGTATCTGTCCAATGCTGAAAGTAGGGTGTTGAAGTCTCCAGGTATTATTGTATTGGGGCCTATCTCTCTTTTTAGCTCCAATAATATTTGCTTTATACATCTAAGTTTTCCAGTCTTGGATGCATCCATAGTTACATTAAATTGTTATATTCTCTTGATGAATTGACCCCTTTATTATTATATAGTGACCTTCTTTGTCTTTTCTTATTTTTGTCTCAAAATCTATTTTGTCTATGCATAGTGATTCATGATCATTTTTGGTTTCCATTGGCATGGAGTATCTTTTTCTATCCCTTTATTCTCAGTCCATCTGTGTCTTTATAGGAGAAATGAGTTCATTGCAGATAACAGATAAATGGGTCTTGTGTTTTTATTCATTCATCCAGCCAGTGTCTTTTGATTGTAGAGTTTAGTCCATTTATATTCAATATTATTGATAAGTAAGGACTTACTCTTGCCTTTTTGTTATTTGTTTTATGGTTGTTTTGTGGTCTTTTCCTTCTTTCTTTCATTTCTGTCTTCCTTTAGTAAAGGTGGTTTTCTTTGGTGGTATGATATAGTTTCTTGCTTTTTATTTTTTGTGTATCCATTGTATGTTTTTTGGTTTGATGGTAACATCAAACCAAAGGCTTGCAACTACTACCTTATAACCCATTATTTTAACCTGATAACAATTTAACACTTTTTATAGTAAAAAAAATCACAAACAAGTAAAAAGAAAACTAATAAAAACTCAATGTCTTAACTTTGTACCCCAGATTTTTAATTTTTGTAATTTCTATTTATAGCTCATTGTATGATGTCCTGAATACTTATGAGTTTCAATTGGTTCATCAGTTAGTCTTTCTATTAATACCTAGGATAAGAGTAGTTTCCACAGCAAACTTATAGTTTTATAAAATATTCTGTTTTTCTGTGTACTTACTATTACCAGTGAGTTTTGTACCTTCAGCTGTACTTATTGCTCATAACTGTTTTTTTTCTTTCTGATTGAAGTACTCCCAATTTCATTTCCTGTAGGACAGGTGTGGCGTTGATGAAATCCCTCAGCTTTTATTTGTCTGAGGAAGTCTTTATTTCTTCTTTAAGTTTGATGAATATTTTCAGCAGATATGCTATTCTGGGGTAAAAGTTTCTTTTCTTTAGCACGATAGATGTGTCCTGCTGCTCTCTCCTTTCCTGTAAGGTTTCCACTGAAAAGTCTGCTGCCAGATGTTTTGGAGTTTCTATATATGTTATTTGTTTATTTTCTCTTCCTGTATTCAGGATCCTTTCTTTATCCTTGAACTTTGGGAGTTTGATTATTAAATGTCTTGAGGTGGTCTTTGGGTTAAATTGGCATGGTGTTCTATACATTTCTTGTAATTGGATATTGATATCTTTCTTGAGGTTTGAGAAGTTCTCTGTTATTACCCCTTTGAATAAATTTTTTATCCCTATTTATTTTTCTATCTCCTCTTTAAGGCCAATAACTCTTGGATTTGTCCTTCTGAGGTTACTTTCTAGATCCTGTAGGGTTGCTTCATTGTGTTTTATTCTTTTTTCTCCTTTGACTGTGTATTTTCAAATAGCTTGTCTTCAAGCTCTGTAATTCTTTTTTCCACTTGATCAATTCTGCTAGTAAGGAATTCCAAAACATTCTTTAGTATGCCACTGCATTTCTCAGCTGGGGAATTTCTGCTTGATTCTTTTTAATTACTTAAATCTCATTGTTAAATTTATCTTGTAGAATTCTGAATTCCTTCTCTGTGTTATTTTGAATTTCTTTGATTTTCCTTGACAGAACTATTTTGAATAATCTGTATAAAAGGTCACATATCTCTGTTTCTCCATGATTGGTTTCTGGTGCCTTTTTAGTTCATGTGGTGAGGTCATGTTTTCCCGGATGGTGTTGATGCTAGTAGATGTTCTTTGGTGTCAGGACATTGAGATATTCATTGTAGTCTTCACTTTCAGGACTTATTTTTATCTGCCCTACTAGGTAAGGCTTTCCAGGTATTTGAAAGGACTTAGGTGTTGCGATCTAAGCTGTATCTGCTTTAGGAGGCACCTCAAGCCCAGTAACTCTGTGGTTCTGGCAGACTTGTAGAGGTATCGTCTTGATAGTCTTGGACAAGATCTGGGAGAAATCTCTGGATTACCAGGAAGAGACTCTTGCTCTCTTCCCTTTATTTTTCCTAAACTTACTGAGTCTCTCTGTTCTGAGGTACCTAAAGCTGGGGGTGGAATGACACAAGCACCCCTGTGATCACCAGCACTGTGACTCTGCTGGTTCAGACCTGAAGCCAGCACAGCACTGGATCTCACACAAGCCCTGCTCTCACCACTCTCTGGCAATTGCTTATGTGTGCCCAAGGCCCTGGCACTCTACAAGTAGCCAGTGGTGATGCCAAACAGGTTTGTGTCCTTCCCTTCAGGGTGATGTGGTGAGGTTCCTGAGGCCCGAGTGTGTTAAGACGTGCTGTTTGGAAATCAGGGACTGGAGTAAAAAAATCTTAGAAGTCTACCTGGCATTGCATTGTAATACAGTTGACCTGGTACTCATGCAGTTCTTTTCACTCTTCCCTCCCCTTTCTAAAGCAAAGGAGCCTCGCCCATTAACCACCAACAACCCAGGCCAGGAGGTATACTGCTAGACTACCATCGATGTTCTCTTAAGTCTAAAGGGCTCTTCAGTCAGCTTGTGATGAATGCTACCTGGCCTGGGACTCATCCGTCACCACTGAGTGGTGGTGAAGAGTGGGCTCCCTTCTGACCCAGGGCAGTCCAGAAATGCCATCCAAGAGTTAAGTACTGGAATCAGGGACTTCAAGAGCCTACTTGGTGCTCTATCACCCTGTGGCCATGCTGGTATGTAAGGTGCAAGACAAAATCCCCTTTACTTTCCTCAAGCAGGAGTTTTTCCCTGTAGCCATCACAGCTGGTAATGAGCTGAGTTTCACCTGAATCTAGGAAGTAACAGAGCCTCACTTAAGGCCCTCAACATAGTACCTGGGTATCACTGCTGGTTATTCAGGGCCCAAAGGCTCTTCAGTTAGCAGGAGATGAATGCTGCTAGGACTGGATGTTTTTCTTCAAGGCAGTGATTCCTTTCTGGCCCAGGGTGTGTCTAGAATTGCCATTTGGAGCTAGGGCCTGAAATGGGGGTTTTATGACTCTGACCAGTGTCTTATCCTGATATGGCTGGCCTGATAACCAAGATGGAAGACCAGGTTTTTTCCACTCTTCCCTCTCCTCTCCTCAAGCAGAAGGCAGGGGTTTCTTTTGGACCCATGAACTGTGCAGCCTGAGGTTGGGAGGGATGTTGTCAGCATTCCCTTAGACACCCCATCAGGCATCTCAGTATGTCATCTGCCCCCCTCCAGTCCACTGCCTCTGAACCTAGTTGAGCACTAGGAGGCCTAACAGTTGCAATCCTTATGGCCTGGACTTCCTTTTAAGTTTACTTGGAGACATAGAACACTTTAGCTCTTGGTGGCAAGGTTTGTGGGAACTCAAATTCCAACCAGTGGGATCCGCTATTTCCCTCTGGCTAAGGCTGGTTTAAACGCTTCCTCTGTGGATGGATGTTGGCTGAGTTTGGTCCGGTTTTCCTTTTTGCTCTAACTGGACAGTACTGAGTTCAGTGTCGCAAAATTGCTGTGTTCTGCCTCCCTGTGCCTAGAGATGCTCTCTGCACCATGCTGCCACCACTGCCAGGGGTTGGGGGTGGGGTGGCCTTGGCAATTTAAGACCCTTCACTTTACTAAGTTCTTGGCAAACAAGTTTTACTTTTGATGAAGTTCAACTTTTCAATCTTCTCTTTTGTAATTTATGCTATTAATACCAAATGTAAGAAATCATTGCCTAACCCCAAATCATGGAGATTTATACTTCTAAGAGTTTTATAATTTTAGGCAGATAGTCCACTTTGGTTTATTTTTTGTGTGGATCTATTATTTTGAGTGTTTATATCCAGATGGCCCACTGCAATTCATGAAAAAAAATCTTTCTCTCATTTAATTTTCTTGGTGCCCTTGTCAAATATAAATTGACCATACAAGTGTTGGTTTGTTTCTGGGCTCTCATTTCTATTCCATTGACATATATATATATATATATATATATATATATGTCTGTTGTTATGCCAGTACCACAATACTGATTGCTATAGGATTGTAGTAAGTTTTGAAATTGATTAAGGGTGAGTCCATCAACTTAATTCTGTTTTAAAGATTATTTTGGCTATTCTGGGTTCCTTGCATTTTCATATAAATTTCATCTTTTAATATTCTACAAAAAAGTCAGCTGGGGTTTTGATAGAAAATGTGTTGAATCTGTGGATCAATATGAGTAGTATCCCTATCCTCAAAATATTGTGCTATTCAATTTATAAACATGAGTTTTTTCCTATTATTGAGATATTCTTAAATTTATTTTAGCAATCCTTTGTAGTTTTCAGTGCACAAGTCTTGCATTTCTTTGTTTAAATTTATTCGTTTCATTTATAAATATGATTTTTTCTCAATTTTATTTTCAGATTGTTTGTTATTGGCAAATAGATATTAAACTGATTTTTGTGTATTAATCTTGTAGCTTACAACCTGCTTACCCTGTTTACAATCTCTAATAGTTATTTTCTAGATTCTTTAGATTTTTTTCCCAAAATTATATCATCAATAAATAGGCATAGTTTTACTTTTTCCTTTCCACTTTGGATGCTGTTTATTTCTTTCTCGCCTAATTGCTCTGGCTATAATTTCCAGTACAATATTGAATAAAAGTGGTGAAAACAGGCATTTTTGTTTCGTCCTTGATCTTAGTGGAAAAGCTTTCGATTTTTCACCATGGAGTATAATGTTAATTGTGGATTTTTTATAGATGTCATTATCCCATTAAGGAATTTTCTTTATATTTCTAGTATGTTCAGTGGTTTTTATCTTGAAAGGATGTTAGTTTTTTCGACTGCTTTTGCTGCATATATTGAGTTGTTCATGTAGTTTGTCATTTATCCTAGTAATATGAAGAATTACTTTGATTTTTATATGTTAAACTAACTTTTCATTGCTGGGGTAAATCTCAGTCATGGTCTATAATCCTCTTTATATGTTTCTAGATTTTGGTTTGCTAATATTTTCAAAGGATTTTTATGTCTACATTCACAGGTGATAATAATACGTAGCTTTCATTTCATAGGAAATCTTTGTTTTGGTATCTGGGCAATTGTATTAGGCTGTTCTTGCATTGCTATAAAGAAATACCGGATACTGAGTAAGTTATAAAGAAATTGTTTTAATTGGCTTACAGCTCTGCCAGCTGTACAGGAAGCATGGCACTGGCATCTTCTCACCTTCTGGGGAGGCCTGAGGAAGCTTTTACTCATGGCAGAAGGAGCAGCAGGAGCAAGCACATCACATGGAAAGAGAGGCATCAAGAGGAGGAAGGTGCCACACCCATTTAAACAACCAGATCTTGTGAGAACTCACTATCATGAGGACAGCACCAATGGGATGGTGCTAAACCATTCATGAGAAATTCACCCTCATGATTCAATTACCTCTCAACAGGCCCCACTTCCAACAGTGAGGACTACATTTCAAGTTGAGATTTGGCAAGGACACCAATTCAAACCATATCATTCTGCCCCTAGACTGACAAATCTCATGCCCTTCTCACGTTTTAAAATACAATTATGCCTTCCCAATAGTCCCCTAAAGTCTTAACTTATTCTGACGATAACTCAGAGTCCCAAGTCCCAATTCCTAAGTGCCATGTGGAAATGAGTTCCTTCCATCTATGCACCTGTAAAATCAAAACAAGTTATTTTTGCTCAAGTCACAATGGAGATACAGGCTTTGGGTAAACATTCCTGTTCCAAAAGAGAGAAATCAGCCAAAAGAAAGGGGCTACAAGTTCCTTGCAAGTTTAAAACCCAGCAGGACAGTCATTAAATCTTAAATCTCCAAAATAGTTTTTATTGATTTCATGTTCCACATCCAGGGCACACTGGTGCAAGGGGTGGACTCACAAGGCCTTGAGCAGTGCTGCCCCATGGCCTTGCAGGTACAGCTCCCATTGCTGACATTATGGGTTGAAGTGGAGTGCCTGTAATTTTTTGAGGTGCAAGCTGATGAAACCTCTACCATTCTGTGGTCTGAAGAATGGTGGTCTCCTTCCCACAACTCCACTAGGCAGTGCCCCAGTAGAAACTCTGTGTGGGGCCTCCAATCTCACATTTCACCTTGATGTTGTCCTAGTAGAGGTTCTATGTGAGGTCTCTGCCCCTGCAGCAGGCTTTTGCTTGGGCACCCAGGGTTTCTCATACATCCTCTGAAATCTAGATGGAGGCTACCAAGTCTCCTTCACTCTTATACTCTGCACACCTATAGGCTTAACACTACATGGAAGCTGCCAAGGCTTGTAACTTGCACCTTCTGAAGCAGTGGCTGGAGCTATATCTGGGGCTATTTGAGGTAAGGGTGGAGCCAGAGTGACCTGGATGCAAGGAGTAGTGTTCCAAGGCTGTACAGGGCAGTGGAGTCCTGGGCCTGGACCCGCTCCTAGGCCTCTGAGCCTATCATGGGAGGGGCTGCCACAAAGATCCCTGAAATGCCTTCTAAGCTTTTTTCCCATTGTCTAAGCTATCAGCACCTGGTTCTTTTTTGGTCATGTAAATCTCTCTAACAAGTGGTTGCTCCACAGCCTACTTAGATTCTTCCCTTGAAAATTTGCTCTTCTTTTTTTGCCACATGGCTAGGCTGTAAATTTTCCAAACTTTTACAATCTTCTCTTCTAAATCTAAGTTCCAACTTGACCATTTCTTTGTTCCTGCTTCTGAGTATAGGCAATCAGAAGCAGCGAGGCCACCTCTTGAATGCTTTACTGCTGAGAAATTTCTTCCACCAGATACTCAAAGTCATCACTCTTAAGCTGAAACTTCCATAGATCCCTAGAGTATGACTCAATGCAGCCAAGTTCTTCATTAAAGCATAACAAGAGTAACCTTTGCTTCAGTTGCCAAACAGTTCTTTATTTCCATTTGAGACCTCCTCAACAGCCTGGACTTGGTGAAGTCCATATGACTATCTGAATTTTGGTCACAACCATTTAACCAATCTCCAGGAAGTTTCAAATGTTCTCTCATCTTCCTGCCCTCTGAGCCTTCCAACACTTCCAATCTCTGCCCATTACCCAGTTCCAAAGTCACTGCCATATTTTCAGGTGTATTTGTAGTAGCAATGCCCCACTCCTACTACCAATTTTCTGTATTAGACTATCCTTGCATTGCTATAAAAAATACCTGAGACTGTGTAATTCATACAGAAAAGAGGTTTAATTGGCTCATGAAATTAAGGCTGTACAGGAAGAATGGTTCTGACATCTTCTCAGCTTCCAGGGAAACCTCGGGAGCTTTTATTCATAGCAAAAGCTAAGCCAGGAGCAGGCATGTTACATGGCCAGAGAGGAACCATGGGCAGAAATAGGTGCCACACACCTTTTAAACAACCAGATCTCAGAAGGACTCACTATTGTGAGGACAGCACCAATAGGATGGTGCTAAACCACTCATGAGAAACCCACCCCCATGATCCAATCACCTCAAACAAGCTGGGGTGACTGGGGATTACATTTCAACATGAGATTTGGTGGGGATACAGATCCAAAATATATCAATAGTGTTTGCCTTATAAAGTGAAATGGGATGTGTTCTCTCTTCTCTTCTCCCTTTTTTTTTTTTTTTTTTTTTTTGACGGAGTCTCACTCTGTCTCCAGGCAGGAGTGTAGTGGCACCAGCTCGGCTCACTGCAACCTCCGCCTCCCGGGTTCAAGAGATTCTTCTACCTCAGCTTCCCAAGTAGCTGGGACTACAGGCACATGCCACGATGCCCAGCTAATTTTTGTATATTTAGTAGAGATGAGGTTTCACCATGTTGGCCAGGTTGGTCTTCATCTCCTGATCTCATGATCGGCCTGCCTCAGCCTCCCAAAGTGCTGGGATTACAGGTGTGAGCCACTGCACCTGGCCTCTCCTCTTCTATTTTTAAGAAATGTTTGTGGAGAAGTTTTGTTTGTGAAGGATTGGAACATCCACCAGTGAAGCCAATTCCTCCTGGAATTTTCTTTGCATGATTTTTTTTATTCCTAACTTAGTCTCTTTGCTTGTTATATGTCCATTTATATTTCCATTTATCTCAAGTCAGTTTGAGTAATTTGTGCATTTCTAGAAATTTATCCATTTAGTCTATGTAATCTAATATGTTGGAATACAATTGTTCATAATGCTTCCTTATGATAATTTCTTATTTCTATAAGGTCAGTAATAATATTTACTCTTTCATTCTTGGTTTTAGTAACTTGAGTTTTCTATCTTCTTGGTCAGTCTAGCCAAAGATTTGTCAATTTTGTCAAAGAATCAATGTTTGTATTCTTTTTTTTTTTTTTTTTGAGACGGAGTCTCGCTCTGTCACCCAGGCTGGAGTGCAGTGGCTCAATCTCGGCTCATTGCAAGCTCCACCTCCTGGGTTCACACCATTCTCCTGCCTTAGCCTCCCAAGTAGCTGGGACTACAGGTGCCACCACCACGCCTGGCTAATTTTTTGTATTTTTAGTAGAGATGGGGTTTCACCGTGTTAGCCAGGATGGTCTCAATCTCCTGACCTCATGATCCGCCTGCCTCGGCCTCCCAAAGTGCTGGGATTACAGGCGTGAGCCACTGTGCCTGGCCTGTATTCATTTTTAATATAGGTATCTTCAACCATAAGTTTCCTTCAACCATAAGTTTACTTCAACTATAAGTTTCCTGAACTTCATAAGTTTTGGTAAGCTGTATTTTCATGTTTGTTCATCTTATTTTCTCTTATAATATCTTATTTGACCCACTGGTATTTAAGAGTGTATTGTTTAATTTCCACATGTTAAAAAAATCCCAAATTTCTTTCTGTTGATGATTTATAATTTAAAACCATTGTGGATCTTCAACATACTTCGTATTATTTTTAATCTTATTAAATCTATTGAGGCTTCTTTATGGCCTACTATATGGTCCACTTGCCATGTATTCCATTGGCACTGGAAAAGAATGTACAATATATTTTATTGTTGTTCAGTGAAATGTTCTATAAAGCTCTGTTAGGTCTAGTTGGGATATAGTGTTGTTCAATTATTCTGTATTCTTCTTGATCTTCTGTATAGTTGGTCTTTCCATTATTGAAATTGGGATATTGCAGTCTCCAACTATTATTATGAGATAGTCTATTTCTTCCTGCCATTATATAAGTTATTGCTTCATGTATTTAGTGCCTCTGTGTATGGGTGCATATATATTTATAATCATAAAACCTTACTGATGGGTTAATCATTTTATCATTATAAAATATACCACAGTAATATGTGATTATTTATTTTAAAATCTCAGTAATAGGTGCTTATTTATTTTAAAATCTATTTTTGTCAATGTTAACATAGCCTCTCCAGCTCCTTTTTTTGGCCATTGTTTTAAGGAATATCTTTTTCCATCCTTCTACTTTCAATGCATTTGTGTATTTGAATCTAAATTTGTCTTACAAATAGCATATATTTCAACCTTGTTTATAATTCAGTCTTACAATCTGTCTTTTGATTCAATTATGTAATCAATAATATGTAATGTTATAATTGACATGGCTTTATGTTTTCATGCAATTGTCCTTTTTTGTTTCTATATGTGTAATGACTACTCTTGTCCTGTATTCGTCTCATTGTCTTGAGTGGCTATTTTCTGTGCAACTTTTTCATTACTTTAATAATTTTAAACTATATTTTTGAAATTTTATAGTGGTTGCTCTTGGGTTTTGAATATGTAGCTTAACTTATCAAAATTGACTTCATATTTACATAAACATAATTCCAAAACACTTGCATTTTGATGTGATTGTAGTATTTATTAGCTTTGTTGTCTTAGGTAAGTCACTTTCCTCCCATGCAGATTGTAATTTTAGGTCTCATATTAACAGATTTTCAAACCTTTGAACAGTTCAAAAGCTACACATTTTGTTAGCAAGGTTGGTCGACTTCTAGTGAGGAGTTTGCATCACAAAAGATAGAATCCTTATATTTGCTCATGAACAAGATGATTTGGACAGAGTTCTGAGTGTACTACCAAATGAAGGTATGATTATAACTATTAGCCTAGAAATTATCAGAATTAATGGAGGAATTATTAGCTGTGTGAGTTTGAGCAATTTACTTAAACTTTCTGTGGCTGATTTTTCTCAAGTATAAAATAGGAATAACAGTGACTACATCATGGAGTTGTGCAAATTACGTAAATAAATATATGTAAAGGACTTAGAATATTACCTGACATGTAATAATGCTGACAAAATGTTTTCTACAGTCATTATTTTTATTGTTACCTTGAAATTTTTCTAACCTATATCAAACATGCAAAGTTCCTGGGCTTTTCCCAAAGTTCTTAGGTTAAAGTGTTCATTTTCTGTAACTACCAACTCCACTTCTAGCAATGGAAACTTGTTTCCTAAGCTGGTTCAGTGAGTGAGCAGGAAAGCTCAGTTGTTTGAGAAAACACTAGGAAGTAAAGGTAATCCAGTGTTAAGGATGAGCTAAAAATCTTGTAGGGAATTTGCTTGAAAATAAATTTTACCCCCTTTCAGAGACTTAGTGTCCTAAATGAGCTGATGGGGAACCTGGCCTTGTGATCCTTTTTTCCACTGAAGCAAAAAAGAAGATTGTATAAAAAAGAAATGGCTGCAGGATCCAGGATTTTGCCTTTCTTTGTTTCCTGGAAGACTTCAATATATCCGCTAATTAGAGGTTGCAGTGAGCAGATATTGCACCACTGCACTCCAGCCTGGGCAACAGAATGAGACCCTGTCTCAGAAAAAAAAAGACATCCACTAATTAATGCAAAGTTAGTAATTAACTGGCTCCCTTTCCCTAGAACATGGTCCAGGTACTGTGTTCACTTAAAGACTATCAGAGTTACCAAAACTGTTAGCTGGAATGATACAGGCATGGTTAAAATCCTTTGGTTACATTTATACTGTTTCTAGGGAACCTGGCATAGTGCTGAACTACTTGCACTATGGGTGATTTCACCCAGTCCTTTGATATTGTTGGCAGAAAGAAAAATTAATTTGGGTTTGAAGTGTGAAGGTCCCAAGCATCTGGTTGTTCTTAATCAAATGTGTAAATTTCCAGTTGGAAGTTAGTCATATTTCAGTTACTTTCTTTTCAAACAGATAAAAAAATGAAATGCATATTCCCCCAGACAGTTCTGAATGCACTTTTTAAGCGACATATTCATTTCCTCCCCCAGTAGCATAGACATCAAAAACTCAACGAGTGTCTTTTTTTTAAAGAACATTTTGAGTTAAGTTTTACAGATATAAACTGGCTGATTGGAGAAAACCCTGGGAAGACTTTTGTTTTCCCCCTTCCACCTTACAAATGTTAGAGCAAGCAAAACTATAAGGTTTGCAGCAATAAGTGAGTTAAAGGAAAAAGGGGATGGTAGTGGATAAGCCTTAGTACTTTCTTGTTAATGGGATTTTTTTTTCTTTATTTGTGTGTATTCTTTGGCCTAAAATAATATCTTGGTGTAAATTTGTGCAAAAATGGGCAAAATGATGCATGTTTTCAGCTGATAAGTAAAAAAAGTCTAGTTGTTGCTTTGGTTGGGTAAAACAGAAGGTCAGGGAGAATAATTTTTTGCAAACACCACTATCCTTTTTGGATTAAGCAGATATTAATCCTATCCTCTTGGAGTTTACAGTTGGGAGAAATCAATGTTAATAAAATTGTCACACAAACAAATTACACAACGGTATGTAAAATTATACCAGTAAAAAATGCAATACATGAAAGGTCCATGATGCTATAGGACATATAGTATGTGGATATGACCTAAATGAGGGGTTAAGGAAGGATTCCCTGAAGGCGTGATTATTGGGATAGGATTTGAAGGGAGAATAAGGATTAAACTGGTGAAAGGAAGATTAGAGAGGGAGGAGAGTGTTCCAGGCAGAGGAAATAGCACTTAGAAATATCCATGGCATGAGTGATCCTATCTCATTCTAGGGGCTGGAAGAGGATCAATGAGGCTGAAACTCAGAAGGGAGGAAGACTGATGCTAAAAGAGCACGTGACCCAGTGACATTGTAAAAGATCTGCTACATTGGTGAGATTAATCAGCAAAGTACTTGTGTCCTTGAGGGAGAAATGAAGACAGAAGAATTGGAAAACTTATGGCTATTAATTTGAAGAGGAGAAAGGTAGTGAGCTGATCATATAGACAGACAGTGATCATGACTATAGGTTAACCCTTCAATCACTATAGTGCATTGAGTTGCTACAGTAAAGTACTCCTCTCAAAAGCTTTTCTCCTTACCCTTATTTTCCCTTTACAAACTGGTCTCCTTCTCACCTACTCTCACTTTACATCTTCTGCATTTGATCACTTTGCTCTGCCCACCTAGAAATATATCCCCTTCCATTCTTGGTTTATTTAATACTGAATCATCCACCAAAATGTGGCACAAATCCCACTTCTTCTAAGAAACCCTCCTGGCCCTATCCATGGGACTTCATCTCCATCCTCTGATCTATTACAGAACTCAATCTCCATATAACTGCCTTGGTATTTTTTTTTTCAAAATTTACCTTTGGTATCCCACTTTTTTCATGTGTCTTTGTGTCCCTACCTAGACTCTGGCATACTGCAGGGTAGAGACTGTATCTTTCGCCTGTGGACTGACAAATGCACCGAGTACTGGTCTAGGATGAGAGTTGGTAAAAGACCATTTATAAAGACACAGACAATGTCAGCAACTGACAGAAATAGACATATTTGAGATAAGCAGAGAGGGGAATAAAAAGAACAGAGATGGGCGGTGGGATGGAGAAGAGGAAGCAACAGAGAAAGTGTTTTTTTAGAGCCAGTTACAAGTAATAAGGCTAGTGTCAGCTTCACACTAACTTGTTTACTGGCCTCCACTGATAGTGAGAAGAGCCACAATAGAGCTGAACAAATAGGGAGAATAAACAAGCTTGAAACATGCCCTACTTGGGAGGCAGCTTAATTACACAAACTGAAGTTCTGAAGCAAATAGAGGATCCTCCAAGACTCCAGGGGCTCTGCTCTGCCAAGAGAAAGAAAGCACCTTATCCCTGGGCAGAGAATTTCATTCCAGAGGAGGGGGAGGGGCTGCTGTTGGTGGCTTTTGCAGTGGGTGGAGATAGAGTAGAGAAGGCTTGCAGGGGTGGGCTGGCAGAGGGGAAGGGCCAACAATGAAGTTACAGATGGATGAGTGGGTTTCTGCCACAAAATCAGATCAAGGAGAGGGAGGTGAAGAGGAAAATATAGGGAGGAAAAAAAAAAAGAATTGTGAGTGACCAAGGCAGTAAACCTGTAGATAATTAGAAAAGAAAATCTTGCCATGGGGGAGGTGGGCGGAGGTATACAGTTGCAGATAACTCTCTATTGTAAATAGATTGCATCTGTGCTATTTATTTTGTATTTTAGCAAATCTCTGAAATTTTCATGGTAATTAGACTTACTGCGAGGCAGTTACTTGAGAAGTGTAGACCCTCCTTTTGCTACAGAACACTCCCTAGTCCTTGGAAGGTGGGTGTCAGAGCTCTGGGACCCTAGTACATCTCTATCTGAGGGCACTTATCTGGCTTAAGTGAGTGTAGTATTAAAATTTACTTTATATTTTTGTGATGGTGGGAGATTGAATTTTGCACAGTGTGATAGGAATATTTTTATGGTACCTTTCATTTTTGCCTTTTCCTTGCCCCCTACTTATTATTATCAATATTGTTGTAATTATTTTAAACAAGTAGGAGCGAACATGGTATGCATAATTGAAACACTCCTCCTTGTTTGAAATGTTGTCTCCTCCTCTGCAGTCCTGCGGCAAAGACAGGCACACAGGCTTTCTCTGTGGATTAATTGGTCAGGAAAGACACTTTTTATATTGTCAAGTGGCACTTAAGCCATTAATTCTTGACTGTGAAACTGCTTTTCCTGGGCAATGCTCTTTAAGGAAAAACTTATTCAGTCCAGTGACTGGTGACTAAGGGAACGATGGAGCACAGGGAATTGGGCGGGATCTAGACTCCTAATAATGCCTCCTTAGCCAATGAAAAGCATTTCCTATTGAGACCCCCAAGAGTTCCCCTGGCCGTCGGCTCCAGCTCGGACTTCAGGCCTTTTTGTGTCCTGTTTGCTAAAGGCATGCGGGCTACAGCATTCAAGAGAGGGAGTCGTTAACAAAGGGAAAGAGATAAATGTAAATAAGCTCACATTTACAGAATGAGCGGTTTGCAGTAAAAAGCTGCGGCAGCCCAGAGTCTGCTACTTTAGGCTGGGCTAACCTTTCCCTGTAAAAAAAAAAAAAAAAAAAAAAAAAAAAAAATGGATAAAAATATGCACTTCCAAAGGGCGAGTTGCCCATTTACATGTTTATTAGCTAATTATCTACAGGCATCAGCACATTCTCTCATCTAGCACACTCTTTCTTGGGGTAAGTTTCTCTTTTAAAAAGATTTGATTTTGGCGTTTGGGGGTGGGGGATAGCATAACAAACTACAGTGGAAACACTGATGCTTTGAGAGTGTAAGGAAAGAAGTTAGACTTCAACTCTGAAGTACTGAACAAGGATCTTCGTGATGAATGGTAAAAAACGAGAATTTCCATTGTTTTGGCAATAATATTGTTTCCGTGGAAGACATACAGGATTTTCAGGCTGCTGTTTCATGTAAACACAGTTGTTCTAAAGAGCTAATTTAAAATCACAGTGTAGAACAATTTAGAAAGTATGTCGACTAGCTTTGTATTTCTTTGGTTTACAGTTTATTGTGCGCTAACGTGGCTTGTATTATGATGAGGTTTCTTCTAGTAAAACTATACATGACATGTCTTTGATGCTTAATTGATTTATGGAGAATGTGACATTTGCTATATTGAATAATTCATGAACTTGCCCATAAAGGAAGAATCATGTTTGAATGAAAAACTCTGTCATAAACTGAATTTGCAATTATATGTGAAATTAATTGCTGTTTGCCATACAAATGCATCAATGTGTCATCTTTAAACTCTCTTCTTGTAAATTTTAAATATTTTCAGTAAAAAGGTCTTATTGAGTTGCTAAATACAGTATTTCAGTTACCTTTTAAAAGGAAATTCAGCAATGTAATTTATCATTATTTCAGTGTGGAAAAGACCAGACAAATTCAAAGGTTAGAATATTTCAGAGCTTGGTGGGGTTATTCACTTTGCTACCTTACAAAATTATACCATCTTTCTTTATCTTGACTAACATAAAGACAATAATAATAACCTGAGATCCAGATTACCCAATGGCTTTGCAACACGTTTATTTTTCAGAACAAAATTCCCAACATCATATCCCATCAACATAGATTATAAAACCTTTTGCCTTGTCACAGATGAAAAGTTGCACTCTTGCCAAGAAGGATGAGTTCACCTGATAAACTTGATGGCATCTACATTCTAAAGTCTCTCCTGCCAATCAGAGATGGGAATGAAAGCCTTATTGGAACAATCAGGCCAGTCTTTCAGAATGTGTGCTCTCTGCAAGTTAAAGGGAGAACCAGGAAGATGCCTCACAGAAACATTCAGGCCAAGCTTAGCTAAAGCTTGATCTATTCAATTGCCTTTTGGGAAAATGCAGTGAGAATTGTTGCCCTTGCTGTGGTTTGTTCAGCGCCTAATTGTGTAGCTACCTTTTGTCTGTGTATATGGTCATCACATATAGTCTGCCCTTGGCCTTCTTGTTGGGGGAAGAACAAAACCTGTAATGTGTTTGCGAATATTAGTACTGAAAATTGGGAGCCCAATAAAAGGTTACCTACCACTGGGAATCCACCTTTACTTTAAGCGGATAAATAATCAGTTATCAGAACAATGTAACGGGTAAATGATCTAATGATTCTACATGGTTATGTCCTGAAATATGCCGATAACCTCATATTCTGAGGGGTGAAGTGACCAGGAAACAGGTGGGAAGGGTTGAGGGTTGAGACCTAAACAATTAGAGGTGATATGCCTGCTGAAATGAGCACAAGGACAGAGGATGAGGAAAATAAGGGAATTTGGAAGACTTTAGGATATTAGTGGCATCTTTCTCTGTGATTCTTAGCTTCCGGTATTAATTAATACTATTTATTTCTAATATTCAAATAAATCTAGCAATCATTTCATTAAGTCTAATAAAAATTAATGACCCTCCTTGCTTGCAGACTTTGAGGAAATAAAAAATGTTTTACAGTGGCCAATGTAAGCAGGTGAAAATAAATGATGGAAAAGAACAGCCAGTAAGGCCACCAGCATGGCACTCATTGAAGGTTGCTTTTCTGTCAGTCAAGACTGAAGATTAAAGGAGAAGAGAAACTGAGACTCAGAAATGGACTGTGACTTGCTCTCACAGAGCTCGTGATGGGGCTGGATGTGTCTATATTTAATTAATATCAGTTATAAAAACTTCTGGGTATTTGAACTTCCTAATTTGCTTGGATTTTGAATAAAAGGTTTTTTGTATAATCGTTATCAACTGTGAAAGGCATAAAATAATGTTAATGCTTCTGTTTTCCTTTACGATAAACCAATAAAATGGAATAAAATATTCATTTCATTCCAGGAAGACAGATTTCTGGAGGAGTGTGAAAATCAACTCTCCTTAATATTAAGGTGATCTCAATGTATCTTAAATTATCTAATCATTGTACTTATTTTGTTTTTTTAGATTATAGAAAAATCATTTCAGGAGAGTTGTAATACTATTTAGAAGTTTGCTTTGTTTTAGGCTACCTCTGTTTAGAAAAGGATGAGATGTAACAATAGTGTACGTTTGGAGCTAGGGGATGATTCTACTTTACAGATGGAAGCACTGTAATGGGTAAATTCTAAATGCGGTTGCTACTCCTAAGAATTCCATCGCAGAGTATTTCTGGTTTTATACAAATATTTTGTGCAGAGTTTGAATTGGAGATGTTACAGACATGCTATATTGGGTAGGCCTAGGACATCCTGGTAAAGGTGCAGTGATTGTCAGTCAGTGTTTGAATTGAAGCCTTGATCATATCACTGTAGTTCAGTGGAGAGAGAAATTGTGTGGGGTGTAGGTAAAAAACAAGACAGTGGAGTCTCCACCTGTTGTTCCAGTCATCTTTCCTCTTCCCTCTTCCCTTATTAAGGACCCTGCCCAATGGTAACAGTTGTTGCCAAGAAAAGAAAAAAAGAAAAAAAAAAGACCCAATGTAAGTTCATGCCAAAACAAAATTCTCCTTTGTTTTGGTATTTTTAATGTAATGCATTACCTTATGGAAGTGGAGGAAATATTTTTATGTCTTTTGTCACTCATTATCTTTAAATTATTATAGGTTACCACATATGGATTTTATGCACTAGTGTTTAGTCAATACTACTAAAAAAATATAGCACAGCAGTGACAGGTTGGAAAATACATTGTTATCTGCAATTCTGTAATAATGAAATCCAATGCATGTAAATACCATTTTAAAATTTATTGGGTCTCATTTACTCTGGTTTATATCATATAATACTTTTTCTGTCTTATGATCTTCTATAAGATCATTTTATTGAAAATATACATTTTATTGAAAAGCTATCAGCTCTCTTTATGGCACACTATTATGACTATTTCTATTTCACAGCACCCATTGGAGGAAATCTCTAACTACAGTGCCTCCAGGAAACTCATTGGTTATTCCAGTCTTAGATAAAATTGGTGCCAGGATTTGGTTCGAACTAATGTGGTGAGTCCTACCCTCCTGAAAATTACTGAAATAATAATAATAACCTGAAAATGTGTAGAGAAACTGCAAATTCCTAATTTAATTCTCCAACTTTTGTTGTAACAAATAGTTCCAACTTTTTAAAGATTGTATCATCCGAAGATCTAGAATGGATGGAGGAATTGTAATTTGTTATAATCCAGGCAATTTTGATGAAGATGAATATTGATTCTTTAGCTCAACCCCTCTCTGCCACTGGGATTTACCTTTAGATATGGGAGACTCTTTTTATTGCTATTATCAGTTTCAGTGTCTAAGTATATCACATGAATTGGTGTCCAAATTGATAACTGATTTACCTGTTCAAATATATGGAATAATGTCAAAATCCTGGCTGGTATATATGACCCTTACAGAAATTGGAAATGAGTTATTTTGGGAACACCCAAAAATTGTCCCCAAAGATCTGGGGCTTCTGCTGAGATGAGATATTGAGTCTCAAGACTCAAGACAATTTTATAATATTAGGTTGAGCAATTTACCTGTAGTTTTCTTACTCTGTAACTAAGTACTAGGGAAAATTCTACTTTAGTAGGGCTGATGCAATCTTTGGCCCCATCATGTTGAGCACCAGACCACATTATTTCCCAAAGATTGGACTGTGTTATCAAGTGAAGTGTTAATAAGAGACTGAAGTATTTTTTTTCTTTTTTGATGAAAAGAAAAAAAAATATCAAGTTAATCACTGAGAACAGGATTTTATCAAATTGAGGCCCATATCAGTTTCCTGTTTTCCTCAAATAAAATGGAGAGACAAAGCAGCCTTAATAATCTTAGTGAAAACCAGATTAGGTGTAGATAAGCCACTTTTAAAAGGCTATTTCTTGCATCAAAAATAAAAGAGGTTGATTTAGATCAATTTCCTAGCTCCATTCTTGAGTGAAACATTTATCTATGGTTCCCTCCATATGGAATGCCATAAAGCTAGGTTTTGTTTCAAAAACTATTATGAAGCATCAACCAATGTATAGGAACACTGATATAAAACCTGTATGAGTGTGACCTATGCCTGTGACTTGACCTAGAGTCTTATCTGTTAGAAACCACTAATTTGAGAAGCAACAGTCTGAACATATTCCCTATCGCTCCAGCAGGATTGTTTTGAGCTGTATTTTTCACAACATTTGTGTATTTTTAAATCTGCTTCACTGCTAAGTATCTATACATAAGAACACAATAGATTTCATCTTCCTCTGAAAACTATTGTGTCAACTTTCATAAACTTTGACCAGAGTAGAACAAGGAAATGCTCTGGGGATCAGAAGCACTCTGACCTGGCCTGCGCTTATTAAAAATGGAGCAAAGCAAAAATAATTTTAGTATACTCTGCCTTCAAGGCCTTGTCTTCCTGAGCTCTGGACTGTCCTCTGTAGGGAGCAAAAGCAAGTCAGCTTTTCTAGGGTACCGGGCATATTTATGCCAGAAGTTGGAGCTTTGTTTTCAATGTATGATCTGAAAGTTTAGCACTTCATGAAGTGAAGTGATTTGGTTATTTATCCTTATAGGGCCAAAAGGCTAACTTTACTTCTTCCAGGAGCCTTAAGGACCCCAAATATGGTATACCTGTATTTTACTATCATTAGAAATTTTTTAAAAAAGAGGAAACAATTGTGGCCACTCTGAATTAGCTCCAGGTGTAGATTGAAGTTAAAAGTTGAGGGTCAGATTTATTTTTGGTCAACCTCCACGGGACCTGCTTCCTGTCCATTGTCAATAAAAATGCAGCTACCCAACACTCTCTGACACCCTTAGGTGATTAATTGTCAGAATAATTGGGAGCAGAGGTTTGCAGAAGACAGTAGTTTAATGCTCCTTGCAGTGGAAAATGTAATTAACTGCATCAGCATATATTTTTCCTTCTTCATTTCATCTGAAGCTCAAGTGTTGGTCCTTTGCCTCTATTTAGTGCACAATATGTTGGCTATTTAGGAAGATCTAATAGTTAGAAATGCTGTTTCTTTTAGTCAAAAGAAAGGAAGCCAGTAAGAAAAGAGGCTAATATTGATTCTTCTTCAGAATCATCTCAAGAGCCAAATGTCTTTCTGGTTTTTTAATCATACCTGTATGGGAAATATTACCTTGAGGGCACACTCCTGGATTGTCCTGTTTGAGTAAATTGTGTAGTTAAGGCTGAAACTCAAGGGGAGCTTTCTGAGGCACAAGGTATACATGACACTAGAAGGATGTGTTCCTAATGTGAACTTCAGTATACCAAAAAAGACAGAAATATAAAGTTACAGTTGTTTCAGGAAGGGAGGAAGAAACAAACTTACATAATGTTTCTCTGTAGTTAGGTAGGGCCGAATACTAGCAAGCTCATAAAGCAATTCACAAGCCCTATTGAATCTTCCTAGCTTTAGCTGTGAGGCTTAGAGGTAAAGTTTATACAAGGAAGAGAGAGAGTATAGCCAAGTTACAGAGTGAACCAGTGTCTGAGTCAGAAATAGAACTCCTTGCTTCTAATGCTGTGTTAAGTCCCAGCGCCACACCCTCACTTCTAGACGGCAAAGGTGGTTGTGTGTTCAAGCAATGGGAGCTATGAATAGGGCCACAGTGGCAGTTTTCCCATGCCCTCTCTTCAGGATTGAGAATGTAATGTTTTCTTGTCTGTCCTTTCTCTCCCACAAAGTTTGATTACTCAGAGCAGCAGAGCAGAAGTGCCAGGCATTTGCAGGCTGCTTGCTGTGGGTGTAATATATATGTTCCTGGAAACATAAAACTGAAGTGAGGGGATGGATGTGTTAATTAGCTTGACATAATCACCTCATGTAGTATACATATATTAAAACATCGCCTCGTACTTACATAAATGTAGTTCAATTATGATTTGTCAGTTAAACATAATGCAAATAAAAAATAAAATGATTGAAATCATAAAAAATCTGAATGGAAAACTGGGGAGATCTATTTGAAATGTATCAACTTGAGACTCACAAAATAATATATAGCCAGTGAGCTAGAATCATGCTGTGTAAAAGGATCACTAGTGGGCAGACTGGAGGGACTCTGGGCAGAAGGGAAAAGCCTTCCATTATAAAAGCATTTTCCAAATAAAATAATTATACTGGCAGTACTTATTGTAGAAGATAAGTTCAAGCCGATCATAGTGAATAAAGCCTGACTTTAATGTTAGAGGTTTTGCAGTCCCATAAATGCTGTTTTAACTATCATTTTATATTTTTGGACTCTTGAGTGACCTACACCTTAGTTACATTTGCAATGCTATAGTATTGCACTTATTGTATTGAGTGTGAGCTTTCCTGCTCCTGCAACATACTCTTGTAGTACCTTTAAATATATAATAGATGTTCAAAAAATACTTGTCAAACCAAATGGAATGTGCATGTTTTCTTCCAATCTGGGTGGACAGAATATCTTATTACACAGAAATCATGGATGGAAGGCAAATTTGATTATTTGTTCCATCTTGTCTCTCATAGGAGGAAAATATTTCCTACCGGTCCATAGTGTCAGAGTGGTGAACCCCTGCAGCCAGCAGGCCTCCTGAAAAAAAAGTCCATGGGTGACAGAAGATTCATTGACTTCCAATTCCAAGATTCAAATTCAAGCCTCAGACCCAGGTTGGGCAATGCTACTGCCAATAATACTTGCATTGTTGATGATTCCTTCAAGTATAATCTCAATGGTGCTGTCTACAGTGTTGTATTCATCTTGGGTCTGATAACCAACAGTGTCTCTCTGTTTGTCTTCTGTTTCCGCATGAAAATGAGAAGTGAGACTGCTATTTTTATCACCAATCTAGCTGTCTCTGATTTGCTTTTTGTCTGTACACTACCTTTTAAAATATTTTACAACTTCAACCGCCACTGGCCTTTTGGTGACACCCTCTGCAAGATCTCTGGAACTGCATTCCTTACCAACATCTATGGGAGCATGCTCTTTCTCACCTGTATTAGTGTGGATCGTTTCCTGGCCATTGTCTATCCTTTTCGATCTCGTACTATTAGGACTAGGAGGAATTCTGCCATTGTGTGTGCTGGTGTCTGGATCCTAGTCCTCAGTGGCGGTATTTCAGCCTCTTTGTTTTCCACCACTAATGTCAACAATGCAACCACCACCTGCTTTGAAGGCTTCTCCAAACGTGTCTGGAAGACTTATTTATCCAAGATCACAATATTTATTGAAGTTGTTGGGTTTATCATTCCTCTAATATTGAATGTCTCTTGCTCTTCTGTGGTGCTGAGAACTCTTCGCAAGCCTGCTACTCTGTCTCAAATTGGGACCAATAAGAAAAAAGTACTGAAAATGATCACAGTACATATGGCAGTCTTTGTGGTATGCTTTGTACCCTACAACTCTGTCCTCTTCTTGTATGCCCTGGTGCGCTCCCAAGCTATTACTAATTGCTTTTTGGAAAGATTTGCAAAGATCATGTACCCAATCACCTTGTGCCTTGCAACTCTGAACTGTTGTTTTGACCCTTTCATCTATTACTTCACCCTTGAATCCTTTCAGAAGTCCTTCTACATCAATGCCCACATCAGAATGGAGTCCCTGTTTAAGACTGAAACACCTTTGACCACAAAGCCTTCCCTTCCAGCTATTCAAGAGGAAGTGAGTGATCAAACAACAAATAATGGTGGTGAATTAATGCTAGAATCCACCTTTTAGGTATGAGAAATGTGTTCAGGTCCAGATATGGTTTCTCCTATAATTTTTCCTATGCTATAAACTAAAGATTTGAAGCTAATGATACTGAGAATAATGCACCAAATCCAGTCAGATACATTTGTTTGAAGGTATACTGTAGAGTTTTTATTGCTGTTTTGTTCAGTAATTATAGGTCAAATCTAATTACAACAACCAAGATGGATTGCCAAACTCTTCTGCTTGGTTGGAATTTCATTGTATCGCATTATCCAGGTGGCTAGTGGCATTTGATAATATAGAGATGACTTTGAAACTTTCAAAAAGGTATTTCTATTCCAATGATATTTGGTAATTAGGTTGGGCCTATAAATATAGAACAAATTCAGGGATTTTTAAAAAATTGTGTTACTACTGATATATGCTAGTTTTATTTTATTTTTTTGAACTGTCATTGAGTTTATTTTAGCACAAGAATATTTTTAGCCTAACATTATTAATAAGAAATGTGTCAAATTTTTAACATTGGTAAAATATGTTATGTGCATTTTGAAAACAGAAAACAAATTGCGTTGGCATGTACGTGGGTGGGAAGAAAAAGAAAATTAACAGGATTTACACAATTATAATCACCAGCAGTGTGAGTTTAAAAAACTTCGTTGTTTTTACACCAAATTAAAATTTTCATGTCAAACTTCAAAGCCAGAAAGCTGCTAAATACGTGTCTGGCAGGTAAAAGCTGGAAAATTACTTAAAACAGGAAAGTGTCAATAAAAAAACTTGAGCAACACCAACATATTTTTTCTTAAAATGTCACGTTATCTTCATTTTGGGAAACTAGGTTCTATAAAATATTTATCCTCCCTGTTATACTTTGGAGCACAGCACAGCCAGAAAGGGGCTGCATTTGTGCCCAGGTCAGGAGCAAATTGAAAAAAAAAATAAAGTAATACAAAAAAATCAAACTATAAAGCAAAAACATTTATTAAAACCTGAATTAATCCTTTTTGGAGGGAGGAGTAGAGATATATAACCTGAAAATACTTATTCTTTCTTATCGAATTTTGGAGCCTAATATAGCCAGGAGCTGCTGAATTTGTGCCCCTGGATTGGAAGCAAATAAAAAAAAAAAACAACACATAAACTAAACCAAACCAAAACAAAAAAACCAGAGAACCCCAAGAAAAATAAAAATAAAAAAACCTCAACAATAATTTGTAACACTTTCATTACTATTTGTTGAGGTTCTGTAAATGTAAAAATACTATGTCATTTGCATAACATTTTGAAGCACAACGCAGCTACCAAGTGGCTAAATTCGTCTCCTGGTTAGGAACAAGTTGTGGGAAAAAAAGGTCAAAAATCAAACTGCGATAAAACAAACAAAACAAGCACAAACAAAATTTAGAACTTGCATTTTCTGAGCATCTGCGAAACTTACAAAACACTATAACATTCATATAATGCTTTGGATCAAATTGCAACTAAGAAGCTGCTAAAATGGCACCCAGTTTAAAAGGAATTAAAAACAGTATTTTAAAATCTACAAAAAAAGAGAAAATTTTTTTATAATTTACTTAAACCGCAAAAATCTTTAAAACTCTTACTAGTTTTTAAACTAAAGTGGATATTTAAGAATATTAGAACTTGTAAATATAACTTCTGAGCTTGAAAGATGCTACATTTGTGCTCAAGTCAGGAGCAGTGGAAATAAACCCTCGTATACACACATACACAGCAGCAGCAACAACAAAAACCAAAATTAAATGTTAAACCCTGAAAAACAACAAAAATATTTTAAAATGTGCATTAATCAATTTTTAAAATATTTGGATAACATGGCAATTTAAAAATGCTAAGAATTTTAAAACAAAACTTCCAGGAAAAATGTATCCTGCAAGTTGCTGAACTTGTGCCAGAAAGTGGTTAAACAATTATAAAGCACAGAACAATAACAAAAAAGTAAAACTTCTAAAACAATAAGCAAATTTTTAAAACTCATTAACTTGTTTTTCTTTCTGATGATATGCAGACTTAAAAATACTGAGACTTTTAAGTAAAAATCTGTTAGCATAATGTAACTTTAAAAACTGTAAAATCTGTGTCTGGGTTAGGAACAAAGTGAAAAAATGCTAAAACAATAGTAAAAACAAATTCTTAAAACTGGCATTACTTTTTCCCAATGAAAGTCCTAAAAGTAATTATGCATTATGTAGTCTTATGAAAAGAGGCTATAGATGGAATATATAAGGCATTAGATTCAGTTAAATAAAATTAGGTTAAGATAAGTTCAGTTGTTAGATTATATGGTAAGATCAAATCAGTAATAAAAGCGTGAATAATCTTTTGTTTCTTTCAGTATTCATGTTTTTCCATTTCTTGTTAAGTATAAAATATATGTGAACATTTGTTTGTGCCCTTGCTTCTTAACATTATAAAATTTTATGATTATGACACCAAACCATTTAATGGGATATTAACTAAGTTGAAATAAAATATATTATTAAATGTTTCTTGTGTAATTTCCATGTTTAGTTTTAATTTTTTTATATTTCACTTCTCAAATTTCCATTTTTATAGTTAATATAAATTGCTAATAATAAAACTTGTCACATTAACAATGTAACCAAGAAAATGTAAAGTATAACTAAATATAAAAGTGACTATGTTACATCGAAAGGAAAAGCAATTTTGCAGCTGTAATTGCAACTTGGATTTTAAATGTTTATTAAATGTAATAAAATATATTTGAATTATTTAGCAGTCATACTTTGATCAATTATTCAACTTTCTTTATTTGTGGCCACCCAAAGGCATCTCTCCTTTATCTTCCCTCCATCTTTTCACAAAGGAATTATTAGACTATATTTGCTCTCAAATTAATTTCAATAACTCATTTCTGAGGCTATCTGAAGACTAATGCAGAAATGGCAAATGGCAAATTCCTGGGTAACTTTTCAGGGATCAAGATGAAAGACTAATGACCTCTTTTCCTGATTTTTCGAACTTGGGTTTGATTTATTTGGGGTTGCTAGCCAAGCTGACTTCAGATTTTAATTTCTAGGATTTGACAAAATATTCTAGGACAACAACTGGGAAGCCTGGGAAAAGATAGGGCAAACAGATCGTCTTGACAACAATAAGATGAATGCAGAGCTAAGTGGCTGGCAGATTAATACCTAGAACAGGTGATGGTCCCGAGGTAGCAAAACGGAATTTCTGGTCATCATGCTCATGCCTCTAACTCTCGGGGAAGGCAATGTCATCATCTCAAGCACCATATGCTGTGTTAGTTCCCCATGAGATGACAGCAAACTCTGCATTTTTTGATCATGACTAGCATGATCAGCCCTAGGCTACATTTAAAACTAGAGGAAGTTTGCCATTAATGATGCCCTAGGTCACGTCCCCAGAAACATAGGGACAGAAACTGTAGGTTTCACATTCCTATCTGCCCTCTTCTACCTTTTGTCTTCACCCCCAATCCCCGTACCTTATATTTAATATGGTTTCCCAAACTTCATACTTTCTCCCTGTTTTACATGTGGTCTTTGTGTTCTCCAACATGTCTTCCCACCCTCTCCAGAAATATCGTTTCTTCCTGAACAAAAAGACAACACATAAAGCTCTATCAAGACAGTGACAGGCTGAACAGATTTACATTAAGGTGTGAATGATTGATCCCCCATTTTTCTCTCCTTGACTGTTTTTAACCTTTTGGTGTTCGCATCTTAGAAAAGGAGTCCAGTTAATTCAAATGACTGAAGGAGGGTCAGGATGGGAAGAGATGATTGTCCTGGTAAATGGTAAATCATCTGTTAAGCCTCAGCCTCTCTTGCCTTGCAGTGGAGCTTCTGCACTGCAGGCTTTCTTGTCCTGCTCCCTTGAGCTCACTTTGTGTTCTGTTGATTCCAAACCATATACCACCTGTTTCTAGACAGCCCTCTTTTCCGAAACCACCTGAAGTGACTGGGAGCCTGTATTCTCATTTCATATAGGCATGGATTATTTCCCTCAAATGTCTCCTGATTCTGGTGGATTTGGTGAAATTAGGTAAAATAAGAAGCAGATTGTTTATATTTTATGAACAAGGAAGCAAAAGAGCGCAGGCTACTGAGTCAAAATCTCCACCGTATGCAGATTTTTAAGAACCACGTACTGCCCATATCTTTCGGCCACTTTTTGATGAGGTTGTTTGTTTTTTTCTTGTAAATTTGTTTGAGTTCATTGTAGATTCTGGATATTAGCCCTTTGTCAGATGAGTAGGTTGTGAAAATTTTCTCCCATTTTGTAGGTTGCCTTTTCACTCTGATGGTAGTTTCTTTTGCTGTGCAGAAGCTCTTTAGTTTAATTAGATCCCATTTGTCAATTTTGACTTTTGTTGCCATTGCTTTTGGTGTTTTAGACATGAAGTCCTTGCCCATGCCTATGTCCTGAATGGTATTGCCTAGGTTTTCTTCTAGGGTTTTTATGGTTTTAGGTCTAACATGTAAGTCTTTAATCCATCTTGAATTAATTTTTGTGTAAGGTGTAAGGAAGGGATCCAGTTTCAGCTTTCTACATACGGCTAGCCAGTTTTCCCGGCACCATTTATTAAATAGGGAATCCTTTCCCCATTGCTTGTTTTTCTCAGGTTTGTCAAAGATCAGATGGTTGTAGATATGCCGCATTATTTCTGAGGGCCCTGTTCTGTTCCATTGATCTATATCTCTGTTTTGGTACCAGTACCATGCTGTTTTGGTTACTGTAGCCTTGTAGTATAGTTTGAAGTCAGGTAGCATGATGCCTCTGGCTTTGTTCTTTTGGCTTAGGATTGACTTGGTGATGCAGGCTCTTTTTTGGTCCCATATGAACTTTAAAGTAGTTTTTTCCAATTCTGTGAAGAAAGTCATTGGTAGCTTGATGGGGATGGCATTGAATCTATAAATTACCTTGGGCAGTATGGCCATTTTCATGATATTGATTCTTCCTACACATGAGCATGGAATGTTCTTCCATTTGTTTGTATCCTCTTTTATTTCATTGAGCAGTGGTTTGTAGTTCTCCTTGAAGAGGTCCTTCACATCCCTTGTAAGTTGGATTACTGCTCAAAAGAAGACATTTATGCAGCCAAAAAACACATGAAAAAATGCTCATCATCACTGGCCATCAGAGAAATGCAAATCAAAACCACTATGAGATACCATCTCACACCAGATAGAATGGCGATCATGAAAACGTCAGGAAACAACAGCTGCTGGAGAGGATGTGGAGAAATAGGAACACTTTCACACTGTTGGTGGGACTGTAAACTAGTTCAACTATTGTGGATGTCAGTGTGGCGATTCCTCAGGGATCTAGAACTTGAAATACCATTTGACCCAGCCATCCCATTACTGGGTATATACCCAAAGGATTATAAATCATGCTGCTATAAAGACACACGCACACGTATGTTTATTGTGGCACTATTCACAATAGCAAAGACTTGGAACCAAGCCAAATGTCCAACAATAATAGACTGGATTAAGAAAATGTGGCACATATACACCATGGAATACTATGCAGCCATAAAAAATGATGAGTTTATGTCCTTTGTAGGGACATGGATGAAACTGGAAACCATCATTCTCAGCAAACTATCGCAAGGACAAAAAACCAAACACTGCATGTTCTCACTCATAGGTGGGAATTGAACAATGAGAACACTTGGACACAGGAAGGGGAATATCACACTCTGGGGACTGGTGTGGGGTGGGAGGAGGGGGAAGGGATAGCATTTGGAGATATACCTAATGCTAAATGAAGAGTTAATGGGTGCAGCACACCAACATGGCACATGAAACAAACCCGCACATTGTGCACATATACCCTAAAACTTGAAGTATAACAATAATAAAATAAAATTAAAAAAAATTTGAAAACTGAAAAAAAAAGGATACAAAGAATCAAAAAAAAAATGTTAAAGTACACTTATGCACAGCCACAGAATTTCAGGATTCCTAAAGGGATCTTAGAAGAAAACTTCCAATTCAACTCTTTTTAAATCACGCAAGCTGTTGGGTAACTCTACTAAAGTGAAAATAAGTTTAGTGGCAGAAGCAGGACCCAACTCTCCCCACAGTTTATAAAATGCTTTTTCCAACTCAGAGAAAGTGACCTTGAAAACTGGTTGGGTGACAAAGGCACAATATTACTGGTCACTAGGATAGCAAGCAATAGACAAGTAGCATGCAGTAGGAATTTCAGTAAGAGCAAAGCACAGCTGAAATTTCAAGGCCAGTAAAAGCCTTAAATGTATGCAAATTTCAAAAATTAATATTAAATTGTGGAAGCCCTGGTTCTCTTCGAGTTTTAGTGGGCAATCCATTGCTTCAATAAAACCCAGTGCAATCTATGCATTGTGTAGCCTAATTTAAAATGTAAGGCCAAACAGATCTGGAAAAGTACAGCTTTATCCTTGTACTTAATTTATACTATAGTGTACTGTAATTAAGCCTAAAATAAAAGCTATATTCTGAGTAAAGCCAAAAAAAAAAAAAAAAAAAGAACCATGTACTGCCTACTGTTTTGCTTCCTTCCCTCTCTGAGGGCCTGGGAATGAAGCTCTTCTTTACCAAATATCCAGAGAGATACTGAGTTCAGGATGTCAGAGGAGCAGGTCTAGTGTGAGGCCTAAAATGTGGCAGTGAAGGAAGTCAAACAGGTTCTCAAGTTGTCATGCCTTGTGTGGCCCTAGCAGCCAGCTTTCCTTCCTGTTTATCATGCAGCAGCTCAGACCTTATAGATAGAAAGGTAGTCACAAAGAGGCCTCATGCCTTATATTGATGTTCCAAGGTAAGTTGTCTCCTCCACACATTGTCGCTTTTCCTCCTCATGTTGGTGGTAGCAAAGCCAAAACTATGGGTCGCTTTCCCCAACTGGGAACCTGGAACTTCTTGACTAGACCCAGTTCAAGGCAGTTTGAAGTTCCTGAGAAACAAATTGGCTGGGAGAATTCCTAGGGATCCAGAATTCATTCATTTACTTATTCAACAAATTTCTTGAATACCAACCATGTGTCAGACATTCTTCTAGGCACTGGGGGTACAATCGTGACAATAACAGAAAAAAAAATCCTTGTCATTTTAAAACTTAAGCTCTCGAGTCAGAGCAAGCAAAGCCACTAACAAACAAATAAACAAGTTAAAAAGTAATAACAGTGTTTTCTGGCTGGAACCATGGAGGGTGTCAAAGAGAAGAAGAAGGTTTCCGTTGTGCCAGAAACCCTTAAGTGAAAGTAAAGTAATTTCGCAAAGCTGAAGATCAATCACCTGAGAAAGAAGTTTACACAAAGATGCTTTGAAAAACAAGGAGGAAGCTTATCTATGAAACAGTGAAGCACTATCACAAGGAATATACGCAGGTGTACAGAACTGAAATTCAAATGGCTAGGATGGCAAGACAAACTGGCAAATTTTATGTACCTGCAGAACCCAAATTGGCATTTGTCATCAGGATCAGATGTATTAATGGTATGAGGCCAAAGGTCTGAAAGGTGTTGCAGCTTCTTTGCCTTCGACACATCTTCAACGGAACCTTTGTGAAGCTCAACAAGGCTTCAATTAACATGCTGAGGATTGTAGAACCACATATTGCATGGGAGTACCCAAATCTGAAGTCAGTAAATGAACTAATCTACAAGCGTGCTTATGGCAAAATCAATGAGAAGCAAATTGCTTTGACAGATAACACTTTGACTACTTGATCTCTTGGTAAATAAGGCATCATTTGCATGGGGGATCTGATTCATGAGATCTATACTGTTGAAAAATGCTTCAAAGAAGCAAATAACTTTCTGTGGCCTTTCAAATTATCCTCTCCATGAGGTGGAATGAAGAAAAAGACCACCTATTTTGTAGAAGGTGAAGATGCTGGCAACAGGAGGACTAGATCAACAGTTTTATTAGGAGAATGAACTAAGGTGTCTACCATGATTATTTTTTTCTAATCTGGTCAGTAAATAAGCAGTATCTTCTCTCAGATTGAAATAAAAAATGTAATAAGAACAGATGATAATAAGTGCTATAGGCAAAAATAGAGCAAACACATACATGAAACAAAATTCCATGCTCCACAGCAGGACTGGGTTTAACTTTAATGGTTGTAAGCATTCATAAGATGAAGATGCTCCATTCTCAATAAATACATAAAATGAAAACCAATACTAAATTTATCAATGCATGTAAGGAAGTACAAAAAAGTTGATTCTTAAATATCGCATTTCTAATGTTTGTTTTTAAATGGGTTATGAGGGCCTGAAGTGCTGTTGTCCAAAATTTGTGCTTAGTTAATACATTTTGGGGTGTTTATGCTCTGGTTCAAGTCACAGGGATTCCAGAAGACTAATGAAGGCCCAAGCCTAGGCAACCTCTGGTCAGCAGTGCTGATCATGTAATGGCCTCAGCATCACCTTTCTTGTGCTTTCTCTTGCTTTAGGCAAGACTCTCATTCTCTCTCTCTCTCTCTCTCTCTCTCTTTCTCTCACTCCCACTCCCACACACACACCCTCCCCCTTCTTGCTTTCTCTTTTCTCTCCACTCTTTCTTCCCTTACTGCCTCCCCACCTTTCCTTTAAGCAGAACATGCTCCCAGGGAAGGATCTGAGTGCAAACTCTGTGCTGTAACAGAGAGCTTTGGGCTGGAAGCTCAAATCTGGTTTTGTACTCAGTTCTCCTACTCACTGTGTAACCTTGGGCAAGTCCATTCCTTTCTTTGTGCCTGAGTTCCCCTGTTAGCAGAATAAGCAAATTGGACTCAGTGATCTCTGAGGTCAAACTTTTTGGAAAACATTTCACAAAAATGGCTACCTATTCTCACTTATATGTGAGGCCAGAAGGAGTTTGAATAACAATAACCATATTAATAAATGCATTTTCAAATGCTCAATATGAGGCCATAGAATTTTGTGTGCTACTTTCTGATGCATATTGAGCATTTGAAAATGTATTTATTAATATTGTTATTGTTATTGATGACAAAAATGAGGCTTAGGAAGCCTAAATAACTTGCATAGCCAATAAGTGGCAAAACCAAGACTTGAACACAGGCTATCTGATTCTAATCCCCTATCAGCCATGGATAGACTGTTTCTAATAAATAATAACAACAATGAACATTTATTGCCTGCTTTCTATGTCTTAGACTTTGAGTTTTACATATATTATCTCTTTTAATATTTACAACAACCTTAGGAGTAGGTAATCTTACTGTCTCCACTTTACAAGTGACGGAACTGAGACAAAGAGTTAAGAAATGTGCCCAGGCAGAGGGCGCCCCTACTGGGAAGTGAGGAGCCCCTCTGCCCGGCCAGCCGCCCTGTCTGGGAGGGAGGTGGGGGGGTCAGCCCCCCGCCCGGCCAGCCGCCCCGTCCGGGAGGTGAGGGGCACCTCTGCCCGGCCGCCCCTACTGGGAAGTGAGGAGCCCCTCTGCCAGGCCACCACCCCGTCTGGGAGGTGTTCCCAACAGCTCATTGAGAACGGGCCATGATGACAATGGCGGTTTTGTGGAACAGAAAGAGGGGAAAGGTGGGGAAAAGATTGAGAAATCGGATGGTTGCCGTGTCTGTGTAGAAAGAAGTATACATGGGAGACTTTTCATTTTGTTCCGTACTAAGAAAAATTCTTCTGCCTTGGGATCCTGTTGATCTGTGACCTTACCCCCAACCCTGTGCTCTCTGAAACATGTGATGTGTCCACTCAGGGTTAAATGGATTAAGGGCGGTGCAAGATGTGCTTTGTTAAACAGATGCTTGAAGGCAGCATGCTCATTAAGAGTCATCACCACTCCCTAATCTCAAGTACCCAGGGACACAAACACTGCGGAAGGCGGCAGGGTCCTCTGCCTAGGAAAACCAGAGACCTTTGTTCACTTGTTAATCTGCTGACCTTCCCTCCACTATTGTCCTATGACCCTGCCAAATCCCCCTCTGCGAGAAACACCCAAGAATGATCAATAAAAAAAAAAAAAAAAAAAAATTAAAACCACCCAAAAAAAAAAAAAAAAAAAAAAAGAAATGTGCCCAAAGTATCATAAATAGTAAGTGGGTCTTGATATGAAATACAACATCTAATCAAGGCAAAGGCCCCATGATCTGGCCCTTACCTATTGCTCAGCCTCATCTTTCTGTTTTTAACTTTTATATTAAGTTCATGGGTACATGTGCAAGTTCATTACATAGGTAAACCTGTGCCATGGAGGTTTGTTGTACAGATTATTTTGTCACCCAGGTATTAAGCCTAGTACCCATTAGTTATTTTTCCTGAGCCTCTCTCTTCTCCCACCCTTCACTCTCTGGCACACACAACTGTCTCTTGTTCCCCTCAATGTGTCCATGTACTCTCAACATTTAGCTACCACTTATAAGTGAAAACGTGGTATTTCATTTTCTGTTACTGTGTTAGTTTGCTAAGGATAATGGCCTCAGCTTCATGTATGTTTGCGCAAAGGACATTATCTCATTTTTTTATGGATGCATAGTATTTCATGGTGTATATGTACCACATTTTCTTTATCCAGTCTACCATTGATGGGCATTTAGGTTGATTCTGTATTGTTGCTATTGTGAATAGGGCTTCAATGAACACACATGTTCATGCGTCTTTATGATAGAATGATTTACATTCCACTGAGTATATATTTAGTAACGGGATTTCTCATTGAATTCTAGTTCTGTTTTTAGTTCTCTGAGGAATTGCCACACTACTTTCCACAATAGTTGAATTAATTTGCACTTCCACCAACAGTGTATATAAATGTTCGTTTTTCTCTGGAACCCACCAGCATTTGTTATTTTTTGACTTTTTAATAATAACCATTTTGACTGGTGTGAGATGGTATCTCATTGTGGTTTTGATTTTCATTTCCCTAATGATCAGTGATGTTGAGCTTTTTTTCATATGCTTCTTGGCCACATGCATGTCTTCTTTTGAAAAGTGTCCAAAACAGTGCTCAAAAATTCAGAGATGACACAAACAAATGGAAAAATATACCATGCTCATAGACATGAAGAATCAATATCATTAAAATGGCCATACTGGGCTGGGTGCGGTGGCTCACACCTGTAATTCCAGCACTTTGGGAGGCCGAGGTGGGCGGAACACGAGATCAGGAGATGGAGACCATCCTGGCTAACATGGTGAAACCCTGTCTCCACTAAAAATACAAAAGCAATTAGCCGGGCATGGTGGTGGGCACCTGTAGTCACAGCTACTAGGGAGGCTGAGGCAGGAGAATGGCGTGAACCCAGGAGGCAGAGCTTGCAGTGACCTGAGATTGCATCACTGCACTCCAGCATGGGCAACAGAGTGAAACTCGTCTCAAAATAAAAAATAAATAAATAAATGGCCGTACTGCCCAAAGAAATTTATAGATTCAATACTATTTCTATCAAACAACCAATGACATTCTTCCAAGAACTAGAAAAATCTATTTTAAAATTCATATGGAACCAAAAAGAGCTCGAATAGTCAAGGCAAACCTAATCAAAAAGAACAAAGCTTGAGGCATCACGTTACCTGACTTTGAATTATACTACAAGGATCAAGTAACCAAAACAGCATGGTACTGACACAAAAACAGACACATAGACCAAAGGAAGAGAATAAAGAGCCCAGAAATAAGACCACACACCTACAACCATCTGATCTTTGACAAAGCTGACAAAAACAAGCAGTGGGGAAAGACTCTGTATTCAATAGCTGGCTATCTATAGGCAGAAGATTGAAACTGGAACTCTTCCTTACACTGTAGACAAAAAAATCACCTCAAGGTGGATTAAAGACTTAAATGTAAAACCCAAAATTGTATAAACCCTGGAAGGAAACCTAGGCAATACCATTCTTGACGTAGGAGTGGGCAAAGATTTCACGATGAAGACGCCGAAAGGAATTGCAATAAAAGCAAAAATGGATAAATAAGATCTAATTAAACTAAAAATCTTTGCACAGCAGAAGAAACTATCAACAGAGTACATACAGACAACCTACAGAATGGGAGAAAATATTTGCAAATTATGCATCTGACAAAGGTCTGATATCCAGCATCCATAAGGAACTTAAACAAATTTACAAGAAAAAAAAAACGTTAAAAAGTGGTCAGCCTCATCTCTTACTACTCTGTCCTTCACATTTGAACTCTGGGTACACTAGTCTTCTTTCCATTCTCTTATTATATTAAATGAAGCTCATTCTTATTTTAAGGTCTTTGCCTTTGCTGTTTCCTATGTTTAGAACACTTTCCCATCAGGTCTTCATGTGGCTGGCTTCTTCTCATCATTTAGGTTCAAATGCTACCTCTTCAGAGAGGACTTCCTTGATCATCCAATCTACAGTAGACACCCAGTTACTTTTATCACATTACCCTATTTTAATATTCTTCATAGTACTCTGAGATATTCATCTTTTTGATTTATTTGTTCAGTGTCTGTCTACATCGCTCCCTCCCCCTACATAAAAGGTAAGCTCCATCAGGGTAGAAACCACGTTTTTCTTTTTCAATACGGTATCTAGTAAATAGACACTCAAATAATATTTGTTCAGTGAATCAATGTGGCATATCTGGGATGGGAAATCACATCTGTATGGCTTTAATCCTCTAGCTCTATACTCTACTGCCTCTCAACTTATCACTTGAGCCTTCTCTTTACACCAAAATGCGCTTCACATTGCTTTATGCAAACTTTTAGCAGAATATGAACGTTGAAGAGCAAAGTGTTTTCATTTTACAATACAGTTGGCAAAGTACATACTTAATTTCCTAGATGGCTACTTTCGTCACACTATCTTTTTTTACTTTGGGGTATTTTGCAGATTATAAGGGTTCCCAAATATCCAAATGTTCAAGGAAGATATAAAAGAAAGAAGACAGACCTTGAACATATTTGAAACTCTTAAACTATATTCAGGTCCCAAGTAAAAAACTCCACTTTTCCTTTTGCAGTTTCCTGTCATTTAATTTGTGCCCTCTGGTATTTGTTGGCACTTTTGAGTTATATATTAGAGCTCTCGGTCCATATGGCATGTCACACAGCACATAAAGTTGACTACAAAGAAGTATCTTGTTACTGGTGATTCTGAAAAATATGTCATTCCTTTCAGCACACATTCCCCTGGTTGATTTGCAGTCTACTTCTTTACTAGAAACCACTGTCTAGCCATTGAAAGAACATGTTTTTACTAAAAAAGAAAAAAAAAGAAAAAGTGAGCAAGAAGGAAGGAGAAAGTGCTATGTGACTGGATGTCATCCAGGAAGTGCTTACATAGCTTTAACTGTAATGGAGTATAATGGCAGCCTTTTTCTAGGAGGCTCTGGGGCCAGTCCTCACAGTTTTCTGTTTGCAGTTTTACTAGGAGAAGTCTGTGCTGGCTTCTCAAATAAAACGTACTGCTATCATTATCTGCCAGGATGCTAAGTGAAAAGATCCATTATTTTTGATATTTAATACCTTATAAATTATATGGAGATTGTGTTGACCGACAGGGACATCTGGAATGATGGTCAGGGATTTTTTTCCTAGGTCAGATAGACTGAGTGTCTGTTTGTTCATCAATGACCAGTTATGCATTCATAGAGAAAAGGTCTCTTCTCAGCTGCTGGTCAGCTAACCTCAGAGGAATTGGAATTACTGAGTTTGAAGGAGGAGATGCAAATGAGCAGTGGCTAGCTGGAATTTATATGGGATATGTATAGCTGCCTGTTTCCTAACAAAGGTGAATTGTGAGAGCAGACCAGGGCTTGAAGGACAGAGAAATTCTGTGTTGGTTAAGCAGAGCTGGATGTGTTTTTGTTATTTTTTCACCTTCCATATTGGCTATCTCTGTAGACAGTTGAAGGTGCTTGGCTTTTGAATATTGGCCAGGAGTTAACTCATTTCTGACTGTAGTCTCCAAATTTGCTCCCGGATTCATTCTCAAGAAGAAAAAGATGAAAATTGCAAACCCAATAGTAGTATCTTCTTGGTCTTGAAGACTTTTTATTCCACTGTTAATTCACCAGTTTTTTTCCTGCTGAAACACTTGCTGTTATGTTTCTGTCCACAGTTTTGGTTTGTTCTGGGGCATTTTTGGCTTCACATTTAAGCCTTAATATAGGGAGTGCCTGACACACCCCTCCCTAAAGCAGGGCATGCCTGGGGATTAGCTGTTCTCACAAGCTGAGATGGATTTCAATGAGCTGTTCACTCTGTCTTGCCTGGCCCCCTGTGACAAATGGCATGCCTTTGCTAGGCAGCAAGCTGGGGCTGAGGCTATAGAGAAAAAAGTAAATGAAAAAAACCCTTTCACTAGGTTGGAAAAAAGGGCATGACAATTAAGGCTAACAAGAAGGGCCATCTTCATTCAATTAACAGATGGTGAGTTAAATAGCAATGAAATTAATACTTTTTAAAATAAAGTCAGAGAATTCAAAGGCATCAAAACTGTTTTAGTGAATGTAATTGTTTTTAGCTAACCTTTAAAAATTTTAAATAGCATTTAACAATCAACTTCAGTGTTGTTTAAGCTCCAATTAAAACACTGTACTCAAGAAGTCCCGGCTGTCAATTTTGTTTCTGCACATGGAGTTTACTGTGTGTGTGTATATGTGTATATGTAGTATGTGCACATACTCATAGAATATCCATTATATGTTACAGACATGTATCTCCATATGAGGTATGTATATCATATGTCTTTCCTTAAAACTCATGTTTTGTGAGTAGGTAATGATATTTGAAAAGGACAGTTTCTAACAGAAGAGCAACTTCAGCTACCTGATGGCCACAGACAGTAGGTATTATAAATTCCTCTTTAATGAAAGATAGGAGTGAGGGTAGGGTTATTATAATGGGAATATTTCTGCTGTGTTGCTTTCTAAAGAAACAAATATTATATAAAATATTATATGAGCTTTTAAAATGAAAGTCAATAATATAATGGAATACCTCCCAACTCAACTCCCCAACAGCACCTATTTAGCAAAATTGTAGCTAATTATCATTCATTTATTATTTATAATTATCATTTAAGTCCAAGTCCAAATGTCTTTTCCTTCTTGGAAAGTCTTTTTATTATCCTCAGGTAGAACTAGCTGGCCATTCTCTACTCTTGATTATCACAGCATCCCCTTTGTCATATTATATTACAATTTATTTTCTTTTACATTTGCCTCTCTTGTAAAACATATTTACCTCTGTGGGACCATTCACCTGGCAAATAGTGGCTGCTCACTAAATGCTTGTTGTGTGAAAGAATGAGTGAGTGCGAAGGTGTTACATCATGTGGCACATACTGCAAAAAACTCTGGGTACAGTGACCATAATTTCTGAGTATATTATCAGGTCCTATGGCCTATCAAATGATTTTATGCTGCTTCTGGGTAAAAGTGGCAGAGGTAAGAGATGTATTTTGAAAGACAAAGCATTGTAATTTCCAGGACTTCTCTGTGATTTATAAGGACATAGGATACAATACTTGAAGTTGGGTCTGTCCTGGAAAAACTGATATGTATGGCTGCCATAGAAGCAGAATCTAAAGAACACTTAGATTAGAGAGCATGCACTTGATCTGATAAATGTGAGCAATCCTCCATTGTAGGGTGAAGGCTGGTGGTTTATTCTCCCAGAAAGATGGGTAATGCTCCAGGGATATTGTAGTCATGGACTGTGTAGTACAGAAATATATGGAGTGAGCCCAGATGACATAAAATTCACTCTTTGGAATATTTTTACATAGAAAGGATAAAATACATTATTTTCTGCATGTACAGAAAATGCATTTTCACCAATCAGTCAGACAGCCACAGGCTTTGGCGGATGTGACAGGAGGAGGGGTTAATATTTATTGCATGCCTATTATGTGCCCAGCACTGTACTTAGACTCTACTGTACTTTATCTCATGTAATTTTACCTTACAACCATTCTGTGGTACACATATAATCATGTTTTTGAAAATGGCTAGACCAAGGTTTGAGAGGGTTGGAGTTGGGATTCCATCTCAGCCTGAATAACTGCAAAAAGGGTAGAGGTAGACTTCAAAGTTAGGCTTACATTACTTCAAGGTGTGTAAACTATCCATTGTACTTTGGTGACCGCTTAACTAATTGAATTAATACAAGTCTATGTATTGAAAGCAAATGATGAAGAGCAGACAAGACAGGCATGTGGCCGGATCTGGGGTTCCTTCTTAGAGAATCTATCTGACAGGATGAGGGTCAAAGAAGGGCTGAGATCACCAAAGAGATGGTTACAGTCTCTGGGCCAGACATTACCATGTATTAAACACATTGATAGAAATTTTTATGTAGCTTACCACATTTAATACACTTCCTCAAAACAATCTTGCAAGGTATATATTATTTTCTGAATTTTATAGCCAGAGAAACTGAGGTCCCTTAGGTTAAAAAGAAATTAGATAATTTGTCTAGGTCACATAGTTGGTGGGCAATAACTCTAATGCTTGACACAGACACTCACTTACTGTGTTTTCTTTCAAATCCCAGCCATCCTTGGGTATATTTTGAGCCCACACGTGTCTCTTCTTCTACTTCTACCCAAAGGGGGCCAGGCCGTGGTTGCCTCCTCCATAATGAACTCCCTCCCTTTTATCACAGGACTCAGACATTTCTCAGCAACGCCCAGGAGCAAGCCCGCCATTGATACTGCAAGTGACATACTTCACTATATATCTACTGTCATCCAGATTGTAAGACCTGTAAAACATGAACTTGCCACCCCTCTAACACTGGAGTTGTCAGGAAAAGAACTCTCAGAAAAAACAGCACTCCTGGTCTCTTGCAGCTCAAGATCAGGCTGCTACCTCAGCAAGTAATCAAAAGTGTCAGTGAATATTCACGTTTTCTGGTGGGATCTGGAGGTTGCTTCTAAATGTCACTGTGCAAGTGGGGTCATGGGGAGTGAGAAGTGGAGAAGAGATTGAGTTCTGGGCCTCTGAAAATCTGCTAGTTATACTTTTCTCTGGAGGCATCTTTATGAGCTATGTGTGGAACCCTTCATATATATGCAAGGCCTGTGGAAACCAACATGTGCTTTCACTCACTCCAAATTCTGCTCCTGAATATCCCCCTGCCTTGTGTAAATAGCTCATGTTTGCCTCATGTTTGTCCACTCCTTGCCTCAAGGAAAAGCAAAAAAATGGCTGCAAGTTTGTCCTTCTTGAGAAGCAAATGTCTTGTGTATTTCTGATTGTAGAAACATATTCCTTCTTCCATTTGTGTGGACAAAGGAGAAGGCCTAGTTAAACACAGCACAGGAATGGAGCAGAGAACTGTGAAAGTTGAAAAAAAAAAAAAAAGCATGGGTAGTCCCTCCATCCCACTCTGATCTCCTTACCTTCTCCTGACAAATAATGTAACTACCAAGCATTTCCAAGAAACTCCTAAAAATCGTGTCATAAGCCTGTGGGATTTGTATCATAAACTGTCAATAGTGTGTGCATTTTCTTTCAAGGCAAGTTACAGGTACTTCTACACATCAAATCTCTCAGTAAGAAATGTTTCTGTGGTGAGAAATTTGCTCTATCAGAAGCATTTCTAAGGTTTAGGCAATGAAAGGTGGCTTTACTGATCTGGTGAAAGAAAACATTCAGCACAAAAGGTATTGCTGCTGGAATGCAGAAGGGAACCATTACCTTTCCTCTGGGAAGATCAACAGCCAGAGCAGCATACGTGGCTTATGAATCAACTATTTGCTGGGAAGTTACACTGGCTAATTCACCACCAGGTGAGAGGCAGCAAAGAACAGTGGGAAGAGAACTCACCTTAGAATTGGACAGACCTGAGTTCAAATCTCAATTTTTTTAAAACATGTCTCTTTTTTTTATTTAAATTTTTATTTCCATAGTTTATTGGGAAACAGGTGGTGTTTGGTTACATAAGTTCTTTAGTGGTGATTTGTGAGATTTTGGTGTACCCGTCGCCCAAGAAGTATACACTGCACCTAATTTGTAGTCTTTTATCCCTCATCTGCTTCCCACCCTTTCCCCCTGAGTTCCCAAAGCCCACTGTGGCATTTTTATGCCTATGCATCCTCATAGCTTAGCTCCCACCTATGTGTGAAAACATACGATGTTTGGTTTTCAATTTCTGAGTTACTTTACTTAGAATAATAGTCTCTATCCAGGTTGCTGTGAATGCCATTAATTCATTCCTTTTTATGACTAAGTAGTATTCCAACACACGCGCACACACACACACACACACACACACACACACACACACACATATTCCAACATATATATATATGTTTATCTATCTATCTATCTATCTATCTATCTATCTATCATCTATCTATCATCTATCTATCTATCTATAGATCTCACACTTTCTTTATCCACGTGTTGATTGATGGGCATTTGGGTTGTTTCCACATTTTTGCAATTGCGAATTGTGCTGCTTTAAAGATGTGTGTGCAAGTATCTTTTTTGTATGATGACTTATTTTCCTCTGGGTAGGTACCCAGTAGTGGGATTGCTAGATCAAATGCTAGTTCTACTTTTAGTTCTTTAAGGAATCTCCACACTGCTGTACTAGTTTGCATTCCCAACAGCAGTGTGGAAATGTTCCCCGTTCACCACTTCTGTGCCAAAATCTATTATTTTTTGATTATGGCCATTCTTGCAGGAGTAAGGTGGTATTGCATTGTGGTTTTGATTTGCATTTCCCTGATCTTTAGTGATAATGAGCATTTTTTCATATGTTTCTGGCCATTTGTATATCTTATTTTAAGAGATGTTTGTTCATGTCCTTAGCCCATGTTTTGATGGGATTGTTTGTTTGTTTTTTTTTTCTTGCTAATTTGTTTGAGTTTGTTATATATTCTGGATATTAGTCTTTGGCAGATGTATAGATTGTGAAGATTTTCTCCCACTCTTTGGGTTGCCTGTTTGCTCTGCTGTTTCTTTTGCCATGCAAAAGCTCTTTAGTTTAATTAAATCCCAGCTATTTATTTTTGTTTGTATTGCATTTGCTTTTGGGTTCTTGGTCATGAAATCCTTGCATAAGCCAATGTTTAGAAGGGTTTTTCTGATGTTATTTTCTAGAATTTTTATGGTTTCAGGTCTTAGATTTAAGTCCTTAATTCATCTTGAGTTGATTTTTGTATAAGGTGAGAGATGAGGATCCAGTTTCATTCACCTACATGTGGCTTGCCAATTATCCCTGCACAATTTGTTGAAAATAATGTATTTTCCCCACTTTACGTTTTTGTTTGCTTTGTCGAAGATCATTTGGCTGTAAGAATTTGGCTTTATTTCTGGGTTATCCATTCTGTTCCATTGGTCTATGCACCTATTTTTATACAAGTACCATGCTGTTTTGGTGACTATGGTCTTATAGTATAGTTTGAAATCAGGTAATGTGATGCCTCCAGATTTGTTCATTTTGCTTGGTCTTGCTTTGGCAATGCGGGCTCTTTTTTGGTTCCATATGAATTTTCGGATTTTTTTCCTAGCTCTGTGAAGGACGGTGGTATTTTGATGGGAATCACACTGACTTTTTTGATTGCTTTTGACAGTATAGTCATTTTCACAATATTTAATCTACCCATCCATGAGCATGAGATGTGTTTCCATTTGTTTATGTTGTCTGTTTTCTGATAGGAGTGTTTTGTAGTTTTCCTTGTAGAGGCTTTTCACCTCCTTGGCTGGGTATATTCCTAAATATTTTATTTAATTTTATTTTATTTTTGCAGCTATTGTAAAAGGCGTTGAGTTCTTGATTTGATTCTCAGCTTGGTCACTGTTGGTGTATAGGAGAGCTCCTGATTTGTATACATTAATTTTGTATCCAGAAACTTTGCTGAATTCTTTTATCAGTTCTAGGGGCGTTTCGGAGGAGTCTTTAAGGTGTCCTAGGTATACAATAATATCATCAGGAAACAGCAGCAGTTTGTCTTCTTCTTTAATAATTTGGATGCCCTTGATTTCTTTCTCCTGTCTGAGTGATCTGGCTAAGACTTCCAGTGCTATGTTGAAGAGAAGTGGTGAGAGTGACTATCCTTGTTTTGTTCCAGTTCTCAGGAGAAATGCTTTCAACTTTTCCCCATTCAGTATTATGTTGGCTGTGAGTTTGTCATAGTTGGCTTTTATTACAATGAGGCATGTCCCTTGTATGCCAATTTTGCTGAGAGTTTTAATCATAAAGCGATGCTGAATTTTGTCACGTGCTTTGCATCTATTGAGATAATCATGTGATTTTTGTTTTTAATTCTGTTTATGTGTTGTATCACATTAATTGGCTTGCATATGTTAAACCCACCCTGCATTACTGGTATGAAACTCACTTGATCATGGTAGATTATCTTTTTGATATGTTGTTAGATTTGGTTAGATAGTATTTTATTAAGGATTTTTACATCTGTGTTCATCAGGGATATTGGTCTGTGGTTTTCTTTTTTGGTTATGTCCTTTTCTGGTTTTGGTATTAGGGTGATACTGGCTTCACTGAATGATTTAGGGAGGATTCACTTTTTCTCTATCTTGTGGAATAATGTCAATAGGATTGGTACCAATTCTTCTTTAAATGTCTGGAAGAATTCCGCTGTGACTCTAACTGGTCCTGGACTTCTTTTTTGTTGGTATTTTTTTTATTACCATTTCAATATCACTGCATGTTATTGGTCTGTTCAGGGTATCTAATTCATCCTGATTTAAGCTAGGAGGGATGTAGCTTTCCAGGAATTTTTTCATATCCTCTAGGTTATCTAGTATATGCACGTAAAGGTGTTCATAGTAGTGTTGAATGGTCTTTTTATTTCTGTGGTGTAAGTTGTAATATATCCCGTTTTGTTTCTAATTGAGCTTATTTGTATTTTATCTCTGCTTTTATGGTTAATCTCGCAAATAGTCTATCAACTTTAGTTATCTTTTCAAAGAACCAGTTTTTTTTTTCATATATCTTTTGTATATTATTGTTTCAATATCATTTAGTTCTTCTCTGATCTGCATTATTTTCTTTCTTCTGCTGGGTCTGGGTTTGGTTTGTTCTTGTTTCTCTATTTCCTTGAGATGTGACCTTAGATTTTCTGTTTGTGTTCTTTTAGACTTTTTGATGTAGGTGCTTAGGGCTATGAGCTTTCATCTTAGCACCGCCTTTGCTGTATCTTAGGGGTTTTGATAGGTTGTGTCACTATTTCATTCAGTTTGAAGAATTTTTTGAATTTCCATCTTTGCAGGTTCCTTTTGGAGTTGATTCCCAGTTTTATTGCACTGTGGTCTGAGAGAGTAGTTGACACCATTTCAATTTGCTCAAATTTATTGAAGCTTGTTTAGTGACCTATCATATGGTCTATCTTGGAAAAAGTTCCATGTGCTGATGAATAGAATATATATTCTGTGTTTGTTGGGTGGAATCTTCTGCAAATATCTGTTAAGTCCATTTGTTCCAGGGTATAGTTTAAGTCCATTGTTTCTTTCTTTTTTTTTTTTTTTTTTGGCAGAGTCTTGCTCTGTCGCCCAGGCTGGAATGCAGTGGCATGATCTCAGCTCACTGCAAGCTCCACCTCCCAGGTTCACGCTATTCTCATGCCTCAGCCTCCCCAGCAGCTGGGACTACAGGCGCCCGCCACCACGCCTGGCTAATTTTTTTGTATTTTTGGTAGAGATGGGGTTTCACCATGTTAGCCAGGATGGTGTCGATCTCCTGACCTCATGATCTGCCCGCCTCGGCCTCCCAAAGTGCTGGGATTACAGGTGTGAGCCACCGCGCCTGGCTTTCCATTGTTTCTTTGTTGACTTTCTGTCTTGATAACCTGTCTAGTGCTGTCAGCAGGGCATTGAAGTCCTCCACTATTATTGTGTTGCTGTCTATCTCATTTCTTAGGTCTATTAGTAATTGTTTTATAAATTTTGGACTCCAGTGTTAGGTGCATATATATTTAGGATTGTGATATTTTCCTGTTGGACAAGGCCTTTTATCATTATATGATGTCCCTCTTTGTCTTTTTTAAACTGCTGTTGCTTTAAAGTCTTTTTTGTCCAATATAAGACTAGCTACTCCTGCTCGCTTTTAGTGTCCATTTGCATGGAATGTCTTTTTCCTTTACCTTAAGTTTATGTGAGTCCTTGTGTTAGGTGAGTCTCTTGAAGGCAGCACATAGGTGGTTGGTGAATTCTTATCTATTCTGCAATTCTGTATCTTTTAACTGGAGCATTTAGGACATTTACAATCAGTATTAGTATTGAGATGTGAGGTACTATTCCATTTATTATGCTATTTGTTTCCTGTATACCTTGCTTTTTTTTAATTGTATTTTTGTTTTATAGGTCCTGTGAGATTTATGTTTTAAAGAGGTTCTGTTTTGATGTGTTTCCAGGATTTGTTTCAAGATTTAGAGCTCATTTTAGCCATTCTTGTAGTGCTGGCTTGGTAGTGGTGAATTCTGTCAGCATTTGTCGGAAAAAGACTGTATCTTTCCTTCATTTATGAAGGTTAGTTTTGCTGGATACCAAATTCTTGGCTGATAATTTTTTTTTTTTTTTTAAGGAGGCTGATGATAGGGCCCCAATCCCTTCTATCTTGTAGGGTTTCTGCTGAGAAATCTGCTGTTAATCTGATAGATTTTCCTTCATAGTTTACCTGATGCCTTTGCCTCACAATTCTTAAGATTCTTTCCTACATCTTAACTTGAGATAACCTGATGGCAATGTGCCTAGGCGAAGATCTTTTTGTGATGAATTTCCAAAGTGTTCTTTGAACTTCTTATATTTGAATGTCTAGGTCTCTAGCAATGCTGAGGAAGTTTTCCTCAATTATTTCCCAAAATGTGTTTTATGCTTTTAGATTTCTCTTCTTCCTCAGGAATGCCAATTTTTATTCTTAGGTTTGGTCATTTAACCTAATACCGGACATCTTGGAGTCTTTGCTTATATTTTCTTATTCTTTTTTCTTTGTCTTTGTTGGATTGGGTTAATTCAAAAACCATGTCTTGGAGCTCTGAAGTTCTTTCTTCTGATTGTTTGATTCTATTGCTGAGACTTTCCAAATAATTTTGCATTTCTATAAATGTGTCCATTTTTTCCTGGAGTTTTGATTGTTTTTATGTATGCTATCTATTTAACTGATGATTTCTCCCCTCATTTCTTGTATTTTTAAAGTTTATTTAAATAGGGCTTCATTCTGGTGAAGGCTCTGGTGCCTTTTTGATTAGCTTAATAACTGACTTTCTGAATTTTTTTCACGTAAATCAGGTATTTCTTCTCGGTTTGGATCCATTGCTGGTGAGCTAGTGTAATTTTTGGGGGGTGTTAAAGAACGTTGTTTGGTCACATTACCAGAGTTGATTTTCTGGTTCCTTCTCATTTGGGTAGGCTCTGTCAGAAGAGAGGTCTAGGGCTCAAGGCTGTTGTTCAGATTATTTTGTCCCATGAGGTGTTCCCTTGATGTAGTACTCGCCTCCTTTTCCTAGGGACGTGGCTTCCTGAGAGCCGGGCTGTAGTAGTTGTTATCTCTCTTCTGCATCTAGTCACCCAGCAGGTCTACCAGGCTCTGAGCTGATTCTGGGGGCTGTCTGTATGGAGTCCTGTGATGTGAACCATCTGTGGGTCTCTCAGCTGTGGATACCAGCACAGTATTTGGGGCATCTTCTGAGTCCTGCAGGAGCAATCTGCTTCCTTCAGAGGTTCTGTGGGTTCTCTCAGGTTTCTTGATTTATTCTTGCAGCAGATCTGAAGCAAAAGTTCATGATGTGAGACTCCATGCACTGCTCTGTCTGTCCGAGTGGGAGCTGCAATCTAGTCCTTCCTCCCATCCGCCATCCTCCCAAGTCATAAATCTCAACTTTTTCACATTGTAGTTACAAGGTTTTTGGCAAATTACCTGACTCTTCTAGATTACAGCTTCTTCCTTATAAAATGAAAATATATAATAACATTTACCACTTAAGACGGTTGTAACAATTAGAGATAAGTTAGTGCCACCCCAAACCTGGTAGTTACATAAGTATATATAGAATATGCGTCAAAAAATGGAAATTTCGTATAGAACTTGCCCCTGAATAGCTGTATGACAATTAAAAAAAATTCTTCCTCTTTTTAGGTCCAAGTTGCCTTATGGGTAAAAGGAAGGGAGCATACTAGACAATTGTCAAGATCCTTTTCAGCACTAACTTGGTGCAGTGTTAGAGCTGCTTCCCTGGAGATGCTAAGAAGGCTGGATGTGCTTCATACTTACTTGAAGAGTGATGCTTTTGCCTTTGGTCACTTTGATTAGTTCACAGTACCAGCCCCAGAGCTGCAGCTGAAGCTAAGGAGGGGAAAAGAAGGAAGCACTGTGATTCTGTAACTTGGGAATGTCCCTCTCCCTTTTGCACAAGAAACATGACCTTCCTGGACTCCATTTTCTTCATCTTAAAATGGAGTTATTTTGTAGGGTTGTTGTGAGGATCAAATGAGGAGATCAATGTAAAGCATCTAGTATAGTTCCTAGTACAAAATAGATAATAAATGACAGTTTATATTATAATTGAGCTGGGTTCAGGCAATCAATACATAAGAGAAGTACTTGTAAACAAATCCTTGGATAAAATCAAGATATTAGATAGATATATACCTTCCTTTAATATTAATTGCAAGATATAGTTATTGAGTACGATGTGTGAGGGACATCGAGGGTAATGAACAACTATGTGCATAATTTTGTCATTCACTGAGACAAGGAACACAGGTAGAGGAAAAGGTAATGTGTTCAATTTTAGATTTGTTGAATTTGAGATGTATGTGGGCCTTCCAAATGAAGGTTCTACTAAGCAGTTACATATGTCCATTTGAATCCCAGGAGAAACAATCTGGATTAGGCAAATGGACATCAAACCAGAGATGGTGGATAAACACATGGGGATGGATGAGATTATTCATATAAATTATTTGGACTAAAAATTATAGCGGGACAGGGATGGAACCCTGAGGAACACCAACATTCAAATGGCAGGTAGAGAAGGAGAGTAACAAAGAGTGACTAGAGATGTAAGAGTGAATCCTGGTAAGGATTACACTACAAAAGCCACTGGAAGAGAGCAATCAGGAAAGAGTTGTCAAAAATATCAAATGCTGACAAAAAGGCAAGTCCTTTAAGGAATGAGCATTCTTGGATTTAGCAGTAAGAAGGTTGTGTATTATTATTATGTCTTTGATTTTCACTGAAAGACAACATGAGAAAGGACCAAATGACAAATGTGACAACACATACCATAAAACTACTACCAAAAACTAGAGTGACTAATGTTTTTTCCTGTCCCTCATATATACACTTATTAAATTCTTATTAGAGACTAGCTCTAGGAAAAATTTACTTTCTTTCATGCGTGTCCACAGACAGCCATTGAGTACTTACTATGGGACACACTGATAAGTGCTTGTGATGCAAATAGAGTTGAGTCATAGTCTTTACTCTCAAAAAACTCATTAAAACTTCATTTATTCATACAATAAATAATTATGAATCTCCTAACATATATGCCGGATCCTGTGCTAATCACAAGATTGGTATAGTCTCTCCTGCATGGGGTTTCTAGTTTATTTCTTGAAGAGCTATTATTATTTTATTTATTGGACAATGTTCACTGTATAACTATCAAATTTCCCTTTTTGGTTTTACATCCAGGAATCCCCAAATTACATTCACTTAAATATCTAGAATGATCCTATCTGATTCTGCAAGAATTGTGAAAATATGACTTTTTAATCTCTCTTTAATGGCTCTAATTGTACATGTCTTCTATCAAAAGACTGAAAAATTTTTGCTGGAAACAAGTAAAGTATAAGTAAAAAATAAAGGCATACATACAAGCAAATACATAATGAAAAGGAATAGACACAGAGTCCTTCCCAGCTATTGTATTTTGTTTAGATGGCCTTCACATAGTAATTACCCCTTGACTTCTCTTAATCCTTGTCCATCTCCAAAATTCCAAACATCCCATTAGGAAAACTTATCTAAACTTCCAAACCACTCATTGAAATGAATAAGATCATGCAAATATTCCCCTCCAACTACATATCACTCACATACATCCATGAGCTAGAGTCATAGGGAATAGCTGTGTGGAAGACAGAAATCGATGAATGATGCCAACCCCATTACACCTTTTTTTTTTTTTTGAATGAATGACTCTTTATTTAGGGAATTTTCCTCCTTTCCCCTTTATCTTCAAAGCACTTTGTTTAACTTGCAAATGTACTGGACAGTTCCTTTGTGTGCTATATTCGATAGGGAGGGAGGTGGATATGAAGAGGCTGGAAATTTAATCTGTTTCACCACAGTGCTTGAGGTCTAGGAATATGATTTCTAGTAATTGGGACAATGAAATCCCACATCAATAAAAAAAATTGGCTTTCCCCATGTAGTTTATTAAAATAGGATTCTATCTGCACGTGTGTGATAATAACTGATTGCATTATTATGAAATAAGTAAGTCTATTCGTATGCATTTTTTTGTTTTATTTTAAAAAGAGAAGCACATAATGAGAGCCAAGATAATTATCAATAAAGCCTAAATATTAGGCAGATTAGGAAAGAAAAAGAAATGAAAACAGTAACAACAAAACCAATTCAACTCAAATCACATCACAGAGGATCAGCCTCCCTGAGCATTTCCATGGCAATAAGATCTTTCCCTTCACGATACTCCCTAAGTGGCCGTGGCCCTGATTTGAGCTAACATATAATTTAACATGCCAAAGCTTAAAGTATCACACAACACTTTCTTTAAATTTGTTCTATTTTGCTAGAAACCCTTCAGAAAGGGGATTAGAGACTACAAGTAGGTCTATGATATGAGAGTTGTTTTATTTAATTGATTAGATTCTGTTTTGTAGATACCAATGCTTGCCTCTTGGAAACATGTCACATGGGCATGCAGAAGAAAATTTGGAGATGGAGAATCCCTCTGCTGCTGTTTGTATCAATAGGATGGTTTGCTGATTTCCATGTGTTGTTACTCTAAGCTTCTTTCCTCTCCCCCACCTCAAGTTGCCAGGGCAATCTTTTCACAAACGCAGCAGCAACCACAAGTATAATTATGGAGACCAAATCACTCTAAAATGAGAATAGGCTCTCTTTTTTTAGAGACCTCAGCCTACAGAAGTTAAACTTAATGGCCAGACTTCTTGTCTGCAGTTTGGGTGTCACATGGTGAAGAAACAGAAGGTATAAATGGGAGGCCTAATGTCAAAATTTTCCAAGACTTCCATCTCTGGTACTGTGACCATTAGAGCATTCACAGTCTTTGTGCATTCCTGGTAATGCCCAACATTTCCAATCTGTCTGACATAATCCTTTGGTGCACTAAATCCACTTTCCAGACACAACTTATGTGGTTTGGCTCTGTGTCTCCACCCAAATCTCATCTTGAATTGTACTCCCATAATTCCCACATGTTGTGGGAGGGACCTGATGGGAGATGATTGAATTATGGGGTAGTTTCTTTCACCCTGCTCTGTGGTAATGAATAAGTCTCATGAGATCTGATGGTTTGAAAAGAGGAAACCCATTTCACTTAGTTCTGATTTTCTCTTTGCCTGCTGACATACATGTAAGATGTGACGTGCTCCTCCTCACGTTCTGCCATTATTGTGAGGCTTCCCTAGCCACATGGAGCTGTAAGTCCAATTAAACACTTCTTCCTATTTAAATTACCCAGTCTTGGGTATGTCTTTGTTAGCAGCATGAAAATGGACTGATACACCTTACAAATGCTTATGCCTAAAAGCTTTGGAGGGCATACTTTTACCAGATACACTCCTGAATTTCTTTTTTATCCAATTAAAATCTATCTACTGCCTACTGATTAATCTATCTATCTATGTATCTATCTATGTATCTATCTGTCTATCTATCATCTATCTATCACTATCTTATTCATTTTCCTTTATGTGCTTAAATTGCTGTTTGGTAGAAGCAATCCAAATTATGAGCACGGATTGAAGGTAAATTTGGGACAAAGTAGGTCTCGCAGTTTTGTGCCATGCTCACAGTCATTGCCTTAGGTGATGCCAGAACTGGATAGAAATAGAAAACAGAGGTAAGCATTGTTTGTGCTCTAAGACAAGGGAATTGATAGGTTTTAGGGTAGATAACAGAGCAATAAACCTAATGACTAAGGTCCTGGAAGGCATAATCTAGAAAAGGAGCCTATATTGGGAGTCTGGAGGTATAGTCAAAGATAAAGAGGTGAGAATATGGGCACTGTTGTGAGACAACCTGATATATTCTGCCCACTGATGGCCTAATTCTCAGGAGCTATTTTATTAGGTTAGTTCCTCACTTCTTCCCTTTCTATTTTGTTCCTCTTTGAAAAATAATTTGTGAGAGACTTAAAGTGTGCTGGACAGTGGATTTGCTCCATCAGTATCTTAAAAAAGGATTATGATAAGTTTATATCAAGTTTATTTTCCTTAGCTCTTTCAATGCAATCATATGCTCTTTCCCCATGATCTCTTTATTTATTTATTTGTACAGAAAATTCATGAAAGTTATTGAAAATGTATTCAAATTTAAGATAATATAGTAGTGAAGGTATGGGAAATTTGTTGGACCATTGCTATGTGCCAAGTAGTTCCTTACACACAGTTTTATCTATTAATTATCATAACAATCCTGTGATGCAAGTAGCATAAGTATTATTATCTCAATTTTTCAGATAATTTTACTTCACAGAGATTAAATAGCTTTCTTAAGTTTCTACAGCTAGTGGGCAGCTGCCAAGGTTCAGACACAGATATATATGACTGTAATGCCATTTATCTTTCTTTTGCATTTCTAAAAGAAAAATGTCTTTTTCATCAACACCAATTTTCAAAATTCAAGGCATTCCAAATAGTCACTGCCTTCCTAAGGTATTTTAGATCAAATATAAATTGTCTTAAATTCAGCTTTCTTAGTGCTAATCTTCACAGTCCTCAGATAAGAAAAAGTGCCAGACATCTCACCATGATATTTCTGTCATGTAGCTTTAAGGACAGATAATACTAGGAGCATGAAATGTGTCTCACCACTATCCTCACATTGAAACTCTGGGGTTTAGCATCTTGCTTCTGTTCATTCACTTGCTCAAACAATTTAGTTGACTTTGTGTCCTTGCTTTTGGGATCCATGAATGATAAAATAGATAATATGCTATTTTGGAAAATTTGGCATTTTCACATTTTTAATGTCCTTTGGAAGGAATATATTTGGTGAAATGATTATGTCTTCCTTTAGGAATATGATTCAAAAAGAATTTTCCATAAAGGGCTGCACATTATGACAAATAGATGAATAAAACTAGTACACTGGCTTTACATTTTATACTAAAGTGCTTGCAGTTATTGTGCACATGACCCACAGGCACTGACAGATTTTGAGAAGTTAAATGACATGATTATTTTTGGGCTTTAGGAAGAATATTCTGAATTCTCTGTGGAAAATGGATTAGGAAGGGGAGAAAAAAAGGCAAACTGAACATTTAGGGGACTCTTGTTAGTTAAGATGACAAATGCTGAGGTTTTCATTTAAAAATAAGGGGAATGAAGAAGAGGGAAAAATAGTTGTTTATAACCAGTTATATCGTGATCAATTATGAGAAGGTGGCGGGGTGATACCAAGATTTTTTCATGATGATACCAAGATTTATGACTTGGGTAATTGGGTGTATGTTTGTGCTAATACAAAGATAGGAAATATTGGAAAAGGAGAATTGTGTTTGAGTTAAGACAAGGAAAAAAGTTACGTGTTTGGAAATTTTGAGATAGAGGTACTTGTTGCCAATTCAGATGGAGATGTCTCATATACAGTTGAAACATGGATCTGGAGTGCAAAAGACAAGCCTTGGATAGGATATGGACCAAATGAGAATATATTGAATAAAAAATGACCCAATGATGAAACTATAAAGAACACCATAAAAAAGATGAAGGAAACTAGTAGTTAGAGAAATAGGAGAAGATAATTTCACAACAAAGAGAATATGCTTTAATTAGTTATAAATTAACAGGTTAAGTAGGCTCATAATTAAAATAGTCCAGTGACCTTAGAAACTAAGAAGCCATCAGTAGCCTTTGTGGGAATAGTGGTTGGAATAGAAGCCAAATTACTGCACATTGAGGAGTAAATTGGTGGTGAGGATATGGAGAGAGCCTATTTTTTAAAAGGTTGTCTGTGAAAGAAAGTAGGATAGAGAAAATTAGAGGGGAAAACAGGACCCAGGGAATTACTGTTATTGATATTATTGTGGTTACTTTTAAGGTGGAGCTACTTGAACCAATTCATATGCTAAAGGGAAAGAGACAGTGAGGGGGCAAGAGCAAGGTTGTTGGGGAAGCAGGAGAGGATGAGATAAGCACTGAAGAGGAAAAGGAGTAATTCTTTCCACTGAGCTATCAGGAAGAAATGTTTTAAGGACAGCTACAGATGCAGAGAAATTTGTAGAGTTTGAAGCAGGAAGTCATGGGTGTTCCTAACATCTTTTCTCTGGTAAGTAGGAGGTGATGTCATGCTGGGGATGGGCCCCCAAATCTGGCCATAAACTGGCCCCAAAACTGGCCATAAATAAAATATCTGCAGCACTGTGTCATCTTCATGATGGCCATGATGCCCACGCTGAAGGTTTTGGGTTTACCGGAATGAGGGCAAGGAACACGTGGCCCACCCAGGGTGGAAAACTGCTTAAAGGCGTTCCTGAACAACAAACAATAGCATGAGCGATCTGTGCCTTAAGGACATGTTCCTGCTGCAGATGACTAGCCAGAGCCCATCCCTTTGTTTCGGTCCATCCCTTTGTTTCCCATAAGGAATACTTTTAGTTAATTTATAATCTATGGAAATAATGCTTATCACTGGCTTGCTGTCAATAAATATGTGGGTACATCTCTGTTTGTGGCTTTCAGCTCTGAAGGCTGTGAGTCCCCTGATTTCCCACTCCACAAGCTATATTTCTGTGTGTGTGTCTTTAATTCCTCTAACGCTGCTGGGATAGGGCCTCCCTGACCAAGCTGGTCTTGGCAATGTCATCTGCTCAAAGGGAGGGGGAGTTGTGGTGAGGATTCTGAAGAGAGGTTTGGAATTGCTCTTGAGAATGGGAAAAGGTGTTTACTAGAAAAATTTCTGAGCTACACTGAAGCTCTGTTAGATGGGACTTGCAGTCATTCTTTTCATTATTATGCATTTTTATCCTTTTGCAGCACTCGGGTGCTTGGGTACAACAGAAAAAAAAAAAGAAGATGCTTAGTTTGCATCAGGACTAGGGTTTAGTAGGGCAGACATGATTCAATGATAAAAGAAAAAGGTTGTTGAGAGTCTTAGAAAAAGAGAAGTTCAGGTGAGGTCTCTGGTGTCCAGACTAAATAGAGAAGGAAGTAAAGCAAGAGACAAATTATGCACTGAGATAAAGAGAGGTGTTGAATGACTGTAGGTCACAAAATAAGCATTGTCAGAGAAAAAAGTGAGAGATCTGAAGGAAATAAGCATTAACAGAGAAAAAAGTGAGAGATGTGAAGGTTCATTGTCTTGGAGTCCATTAGTGAAACACCTGAATTTGTGTTTTAATTGTAAAGCAGCTTTACCTTATGACAATATTTATATGTGGCCAGAGGAATATGCAACTGAAGCCGAGTTTGTAAATAAATTCATTGTAGTTTAAAAGGTCAAGGAACTGTTAGGTTAAAGTAGTAGGTGAAATAGTGAAATGGACATTGAAGTCTCTTTGGAGGCTTCAAAATACGAAGTGGCAAATCATTGTGGAGATAGGGTCATCATGAAAAAAATGAGACAGTGATCAACAGGTAGCGCCAAAGTGGAGGGAAAGAATAGTATAGCTAGGTGGCATGAATCTAAGAGGACAAAGATTTTTGTACATGAGGAAAGGAGAGTTTTCATATTGAAGTGGTGATGGAAGCAAAGAGAATGCCAATGCCACAACAGAGGATATGGAGAGCAGAGGAGAAATAGAGCCACATTTTCTTTTACATTTTTAATTTGCAATTTTTGTGGGTATGTAGTATGCGTATATATTTCTGGGGCACGTGGCATATTTTGAAACAGGAATGCAGTGAGTCACACATAAAGGTAAATGGGGTATCTATCACCTAAAAAATCTCTCCTTTGTGTTACAAAAAGTATAATTATAGTCTTTTAGTTTTTTTAATGTACAATTCAATTACTGACTATAGTCACCCTGTTGTGCTATCAAATACTTGATCTTATTCATACTTTCTAACTACTATTGTGTGCCTGTTCATCAACCCCACTTCCGTCTCTTGACATTCCACTACCTTTCACAGGCTCTGGTAACAGGCTTTTGTAATATCTACCTCTATGAGTTTCATTATTTTAATTTTAATTTATAACTCACTCATATAACTGAGAATATGCAAGGTTTGTCTTTTCGTGTCTGGCTTATTTCACTTAATGACCAACAGGTCCATCCATGTTGTTACAAATGACAGAACATCATGATTTATTGTGGCTGAATAGTATTCCATGATGCATATTTGTACCACATTTTCTTTATCCATTCCTCTGTTGATGAACACTTAAGTTGCATTCAAATCTTAGCTTTTAGAAACCATGTAACAATTGTTGCCTCCTCCTGTATTTTTCAGAATAGCTTGAATAGGTTTGGTATTATGCCTTAAGTGTTTCATAGAATTCAGCAGGGAAGTCATCAGGTCCCAGACTTTTATTTGTTAGGATAACTTTCACTGTGACTTCAAGCTTGTTACTTGTTATTGATCTGTTCAGGTTTTGCATTTCTTTATAGGTTGTAGGTGTCTAGGAATTTATCTTTGTCTTCTAGATTTTCCAATTTATTGGCATATAGTTGCTCATAGTAGTCACTGATGATACTTTGCATTTCTGCAGTATCAGTTGTAATGTCTCCTTTTTCGTCTCTGATTTTATTTATTTCAGTTGTATTCCCTTTTTTTCTTAGTTATTCTGTGCAGAGGTTTGCCAATTTTGTTTATTTTTTCGTGAAACCAGCTTTTTGTTTTGTTGAAATTTGTACTGATTCTTTCATTTCAGTTTCATTTATTTATGCTCTGATCTTGATTATTTCTTTTCTTCTACTAATTGCACATTTGTTTTGCTCTTGCTTCTCCATTTCCTTAAGATGCATCTTGGAAGGCAACCAAAATGGCTGAATAGAAACTGCTCCACTCTGTGGTTCCCACTAAGAAGGATGAAAACAGAGAGTGAATTCTGCATCTTCAATTGAGGAACCAAGGTTCTCTCACTGGGACTGACTAGTTGGTTGGCATGACCAACAGAGAGCAAGAAAACACTGGGTGGAGTGAGGGTCCACATGGGAGCTACATGGGGCAAAAGGAACTCTGTTTCCCAGCCAAGGGAGGTGGTGAGGGATTGTGCTTCTCCTCCCTGGAAACTACATTTTTCCCACAGATCCTTGCAACTAATGGATCAGAAGGTCCCCTCCTAAGTCCACAGCATTAGAGGCTTGGGTCTCAAGCACAAAGCTGTGGAGACTCACCCTGGCTCTTTGGGCAGGAGTCCTCTGGAGCAGGCACTAAGACGCAGGAGTATTTGCAATCTCTGGCTCTGGGAACTCCTGTGAGGTAAGATACCCATCCTCCATAAGATCAACCCAAGTCAAATAATCATCAGATTCTCCAAGGTCAAAATGAAGGAAAAAATGTTAAGGACAGCCAGAGGAAAAGACCAGGTCACCTATAAAAGGAAGCCCATCAGACTAACGGCAAACCTATCAGTGGAAACCCTAAAAACCAGAAGAGATTGGAGGCTGATATTCAACATTCTTTAAAAAAAAACAGAATTTCCAACCTAGAATTTCATTTCTAGCCAAACGAAGCTTCATACAAGAAGGAGAAATAAAATCTTTTTCAGACAAACAAATGTTGAGGGATTTCATCACTGCCAGGTGCCTTGCAAGAGCACCTGAAAGAAGCACTAAATATGGAAATGAGAAAGCACTACCAGCTACTACAAAAACACACTGAGGTACACAAGACCAATTACACTATGAAGCAAACACATAAACAAGTCTGCAAACTAACCAACTAGCATCATGATGTCAGAATCAAATTCACACATAACAATATTAGTCTTAAATGTAAATGGGCTAAATGTCCCAACTAAAAGACAGAGTGGAAAACTGGATAAAGACTCAAAATGCTTCAGTATGCTGTATTCAAGAGGCCCATCTCACATGTAAAGACTCACATAGACTCAAAATAAAAGAATGGAGGAAAATTTATCAAGCAAATGGAAAACAGAAAAAAAGCAGGGGTTGCAATCCTAGTTTCTGACAAAACAGACATTAAACCAACAAAGATTTAAGAAAAAAGACAAAAAAAAGGCATTACGTAATGGTAAAGGGGGTCAATTCAACAAGAAGATCTAACTATCCTAAATATATATGCAACCAATACAGGAGCACCCAGATTAATAAAACAAGTTCTTAGAGACCTACAAAGAGACTTAGACTCCCATACAATGATATTGGAAGACTTTAACACTCCAATGTCAATATTAGACAGATTATTGAGACAGAAAATTAACAAAAATATTTAGGACTTGAACTCAGCTCTGAATCAAGTTGATATATATATATCTACAGAACTCTCCATTCAAAAACAACAGACTATACATTATTCTCAGTAATACATGGCGCTTATTCTAAAATGGATGAAATAATCGGAAGTACATCACTCCTCAGCAAATGCAAAACAACTGAAATCATAACAAATAGTCTCTCAGACCACACCACAATCAAATTAGAACTCAAGATTGAGAAACTCACTCAAAACCACACAGTTACATGAAAATTGAACAAACTGCTCCTGAATGACTCCTGGGTAAATAACAAAATTAAGGTGGAAATTAGAAAGTTCTTTGAAACCAATGAGAACAAAGAGACAACATACCAGAATCTCAGGGACACAGCTAAGGCAGTGTTAAAAAAGAAATTTATAGCACTAAATGCCCACATCTAAAAGGTAGAAAGATCTCAAATTGATATCCTAGCATCACAACTAAAATAACTAGAAAACCAAGAGCAAACAAACCCCAAAGCTAGCAGAAAACAAAAAAAATAACCAAGCTCAGAGCAGAACTAAAGCAGATAGAGACATGAAAAACCCTTTGAATAATCAATGAATCCAGGAACAGATTTTTTGAAAAAAAATAATAACATAAAGATAGTTTGCTAGCTAGACTAATAAAGAAAAAAGAGAAGAATCAAGTAGTCACAATAAAAAATGATAAAAGGGGTTATCACCACTGACCCCACAGAAATACAAGCATCAATCAGAGAATATTATAAACAGCTCTGTGCAAATAAACTGGAAAAGTTAGAAGAAATAGATTAATTCCTGAACACACACACTCTCCCAAGGCTTAACCGGGAAGAAGTTGAATCCCTAGATATACCAATAACAAGTTCTGAAATTAAGGAAGTAATAAATAGCCTACCAACCCAAAACAGCCCAGGACCAGATGGGTTTACAGCTGAATTTTATCAGAGGCAAAAAGAGGAGCTGGCACCATTTCTTCTGAAACTATTCCAAGCAATTGAAATGGAGGAACTCCTCCCTAATTCATTCTATAAGGCCAGCATCATCCTGATACCAAAACCTAGAAGAGATACAACAAAAAAAGAAAACTTTAGGTCAATATCCCTGATGAACATCAATGCAAAAATTCTCAGTAAAATACTGGCAAACAGAATACAGTACCACATCAAAAAGCTTATCCACTATGACCAAGTTGGCTTTATTTCTGGGATAGAAGGCTGGTTAAACCTAAACAAATCAATAAGCATCATTTATCACATAAACAGATCTAAAGACAAAAACACATAATTATGTTAATAGATGCAGAAAAGACCTTTGATAAAATAAAACATCTCTTCATGTTAAAAACTGTCAATAAATTAGGTATTGAAGAAACACACCTCAAAATAATAACAGACATTTATGACAAACCCACAGCCAATATACTGAATGGGCAAAGGCTGGAAGGATTCCCCTTGAAAACTGGCACAAGACAAGGATGCTGTCCCTCACCACTCCTATTTAACACAGTATTGGAAGTTCTGGCTAGGGCAATCAGTCAGGAGAAAGAAATAAAGCATATTCAAATAGCAAGAGAGGATGTCAAAGTGTCTTTCCTTGCAGATGACATAATCCTATGTCTAGAAAACCTCATCGTCTCAGCACCAAAGCTTTTTAAGCTGATAAGCAACTTCAGCAAAGTCTCAGGATACAAAATCAATGTACAGAAGTCACGATCATTCCTATACATTAACAACAGGAAAGCAGAGAGCCAAATCATAAATAAACTGCAATTCACAATTGCTACAAAGAGAATAAAATACCTAGAAATACAGCTAACAAGGGAAGTAAGGGACCTCTTCAAGGAGAACTAAAAACCACGGCTCAAGGAAACCAGAGAGGACACAACCAAATGTAAAAACACTTCAAGCTCATGGATAGGAAGAATCAATATCGTGAAAATGGCTGTACTTCCAAAATAATTTATAGATTCAATGCTATTCCCTTTAACCTACCATTGACATTCCTAACAGAATTAGAAAAAAAAAAACTATTTTTAAAATTCATATGGAACCCAAAAAGGGCTTGTATAGCCAAGACAATCCTAAGCAAAAAGAACAAAGCTGGAGGCATAATGCTACCCAACTTCAAACTATACTAGAAGGCTATGGTAACCAAAACAGCACAGTACTGGTACAAAAATAGGCACATAGTCATGGGAAAAGATTTCATGATGCAATCACCAAAAGCAATTGCAACAAAAGCAAAAATTGACCAATATGATCTAATTAAACTAAAGAGCTTCTGCACAGCAAAATAAACTATCATTAGAGCGAACAGGCAACCTACAAAGTGGGAGAAAATTTTTGCAATCTATTCATCTGACAAAATTCTAATATCAAGAATCTACAAGGAATTTAAACAAATTTACAATAAAAAACAACCCTATTAAAAAGTGGGCAAAGGATATGAACAGACATTTCCCAGATGAAGACATTCATGTGCCCAAAAAACTGAAAAAAAGCTCAACATCACTGATCATTAGAGAAATGCAAATCAAAGCCACAATGAGATACTATCTCATGCCAGTCAGAATGACAATTATTAAAAAGTCAAAAAACAACAGATGCTGGTGAGATTGCAGAGAAATAGGAATGCTTTTACACTGTTGGTGGAATGTAAATTTGTTAAAACATTTTGGAAGATGATGTGGTGATTCCTCAAAGATCTAGAACCAGAAATACCTTTGGACCCAGCAATCCCAGTACTGGGCATATACCCAAAGGAATATAAATCATTCTATTACAAAGATACATGCGTGCTTATATTTATTGCAGTATTATTCACAATAGCAAAGACATGGAATCAACTCAAATATTCATCAAAATAGACTGGATAAAGAAAATGTGGTGTATATATATATATACATATATATATATACACATATATATATACATACATATATCTATACACATATATATATACATATATCTATATACGTATATATATATATATATATATATGTATACACATACCATGGAATACTATGCAGCCATAAAAAGAACAAGATCATGTCTTTTGCAGGGACATGGATGAAGCTTGAAGCCATTATGCTCAGCAAACTAATGTAGAAACAGAATATCAAACACCGCATGTTCTCACTCATAAGTGGGAGTTGAACAATGAGAACACATGGACACGATGAGGAGAACAACACACACGGGGGCCTGTTGGGGGGTGTGGTGGGGGGGTGAGAGAGCATTAGGAAAAATAGCTAATGCGTGGTGAACTTAATATCTAGGTGATGGGTTAATAAGTTCAGCAAACCATCATGGTACATGTTTACCTATGTAACAAACCTGCACATCCAGCACATGTATCCCAGAACTAAAAATAGAAATTAAAAGAAAATAAAGAAAAACTTATTTCTTAAATCTTAAAATGAAGATTGTTTTTTAAAAAGATGCATCATCTTGAGGCCATTTATTTGAAGATTTTCTTCTTATTTGATGTAAGTGCTTATAGGTATAAATGTCACTCATAGTACTGCTCTCACCTTATTACAAAGGTTTTGGTATGTTGTGTTTCCATTATCACTTGTTTGAAACAATTTTTGAATTTCCTTCTTAATTTATGGACCCATTAATCATTCAGGAGCATATGGTTTTATTTCTATTTGTGTAGTTTCCACAATTTCTCTTATTTATTTCTAGCTTTATTCCATTGTGGTAACAGAAGATGCTTAATATTATTTCAATTTTTTGAATGTTTTGAGACTTGTTTTATGACCTAACACTATTCTTGAGAGTGACTTCTGTGCTGAGAAGAAGAATGTGTATACTGCAGCCGTTGGATGGAATGTTCTGTAAATACCAATTAAGTTCATTTGGTTAATAGTGCAGACTAAGTTCCATGTTTCTTCCTTGATTTTCTGTCTGCGTGATCTCTTCAGTGCTGAAAGTGGGCTGTTGAGGTCTCCAGTCATTATTGTATTGGGATCTATCTCCTTCTTTACCTCTAATAATATTAACATTATATATCTGGGTGCTTCAGTGTTGGGTATATGTATCTTTAAAATAGTTATATCCTCTTACTGAATTTACCCCTATATCATTATATAATGGCAAAAATTTTCTCTTTATGGTTTATGTTTGAAATCTATTTTGTCTAATACAGGTATAGCAACTCCTATTCTTTTTTTGGTTTCCATTTGCATGGAATTTTTTTTCATCTCTGTATTTTCATTCTATGTGTGTCTTTATATGAAGTGTTTTTCTTGTAGGCAACAGGCCGTTGGGTCTTGTTGTTTTATCTATACAGCCACTCTATGTCTTTTGATTGGCGAGTTTAGTTCACTTACATTCAGTGTTATTACTGACAAGTAAAAACTTACTCTTGCCATTTTATTTGTTTTCTGGTTGTATTTTTATCTTCTCTTCTTTCTTTCCTTCCTTTCTGTATTTGTTTTAGTGAAGGTGATTTTCTCTAGTGGCATGATTTAATTTCTAGCTTTTCATTTTTTGCATATCCATTGTATGTTTTTTGATTTGAGGTTATCATGATGCTTGCAAATACTATCTTATAACCCATTATTTTAAATGGATGATAACTTTTTTTTTGTTTGAGACAGAGTCTTGCTCTGTCACCCAGGCTGGAGTGCAGTGGTGTGACATCGGCTTACTGCAACTTCTGCCTTTCAGGTTCAAGCAATTCTCCTGCCTCAGTCTCCTGAGTAGCTGGGACTACAGTTGTAAACCACCATGCCCTGCTAGTTTTCGTATTTTTAGTACAGACGGTGTTTCACCATGTTGCCATGTTGTCCAGGTTGGTCTTGAACTTTTGACCTCAGGTGATCCAGCTGCTTCAGCCTCCCAAAGTGCTGGGATTACAGACGTGAGCCATCACGCCCAGCCTAACTGCCCAGCCTAAACTGATGACAAATTAATGATGATGACAACCTAATCATCATGCCCAGCCTAAACTGATGACAACTTAAATGCTGATTGCATGAACACACAAGCAAAAATAAAACTGATAAAACCTCTATATTTTAAATTTATCACTCTGCTTTTTAACATTTTGTGGTTTCTATTTATATCTTATTTTACTGTCTAAAGGTTGAGAAGTTGTAGTTAGTTATTATTTTTGATTAGTTTATCTTTTACTTTTTCTGCTTAGAGAAGAGCAGTTTAGACATCATAATTACAGTGTTATAATACTCTGTGTTTTTCAGTGTACTTACCAGTGAGTTTTTAAACTTCAGATGATTTATTATTGCTCATTATCATCCTTTTCTCTCTGAAGATTTTCCTTTAGCATTTCTTCTAGGACAGTTTTGATGTTGAGAAAATCTCTCAGCTTTGTTTTTCTGGGAAGCCTTTTTTGTCCTTTATGTTTGAAGTGTATTTTCACTGGATACACTCTTCAAGGGAAAATGGCTTTTTTCCCTTCAGCATTATAAATCTGTCATTCCTCTCTCTCCCGCCCTGTAAGGTTTCCACTGATATTACTGCTGTCAGTCATATTGGAGCTCAATTGTATGTTATTTGTTTCTTTTCTCTTGCTGCTTTTAGGATCCTTTCTTTATCTTTGACCTTTGGAAGTTTGATTATTAAATGCCTTGATGTGGTCTTATTTGGCTTAAAGCTGCTTTGAGTTCTATAACCTTCTTGTGCTTCAATGTTGATATTTTTATCTGGATTTAAGTAGTTCAAGTTAGTTAGTTATGACTTTGAGTAAATTTTTTACCTTTATCTTTTTCTCTTTCTTCTCTTTAAGGTCAATAGCTCTCAGATTTTCCCTTTTGAGACTATTTTTCTAAGTCCTCTAGGTGTTTCTGCTATATTATTTTTGCTTTTGTCTCCTCTGACTGTGTATTTTCAAATAGCCTGTTTTCAAGCTCATAAATTCTTTCTTCTGCTTGATTAATTCTTCTTTAAGTCACTATGATGCATTCTTCAGTGTGTCAATTACATGTTTCAACTCCAGAATTCCTGCATATTTTTAATTACTTCAATCTCTTTGTTAAATTTATCTGATAAATTCTGATTTTTTTCTCTGTGTTATCTTTAATTTTGTTGAGTTTTCTCAATGCAGCTATTTTGAATTCCCTGTCTGAAAGATCACATGTCTCTATCTCTCCAGGATTGGTTACTGGTGACTTATTTAGTTCATTTGGCAAGGTCATGTTTTTCTGGATGGTTTTGATGCTTGTGGACATTAGTTGGTGTCTGGGCATTGAAGAGTTAGGTATTTATTGTAGTCTTCATAGTCAGGGCTTGTTTGTACCCTTCCTCTATGAAAAGGATTTCCAGGCATTCAAAAGGACTTTGGTATTGTGATCTAAGCTGCATCTCCATCAGGGAGCACCCCAAGCCCAGTAAGGCTGTAGTTCTTGCAGACTTGTTGAAGTACCCTCTTGGTGGTCTTGAATAAGATCCAGAAAAATTCTGGGGATTACTAGGCAGGGACTCTTGTTTTCTTCCCTTGCTTTCTCCCAAATAAATGGAGTACCTCTGTGTTGAGACACCTGGATATGGGAGTTAGGTGACACAAGCACCCTTGTGACCACCACCACTGAAACTGTGCTGGGTCAGACCTGTAGCGAGCTCTGTACTGGGTCTTGCCCAAGGCCTACTGTAACCACAACCTGGTTACCACATATGTTTGCTTAAGATCCTAGGCCTCTGCAATCAGCAGGGGGCAAAGCCATCCAGGCTTGTTTCCTTCCCTTTGGGGCTGTGAGTTCTTCCTGGCCTTGGATGGTTCTAGAAATGTCATTTGGGAGCCAGGGACCAGAGTAGAATACCTTAAAAAGTCTACTTGGTGCTCTACTGTACTGCTGCTGAACTGAACCTTATGAAACTCTCATTTGTTCTCGAGGAATTTAGACTAGAATGCCTCTAATGTCTCCTCCAGCTCTGTCATAGAGATTAAGTTTGTCCCACTCTTCCCACCTCTTTCCACAAGCAGAGGAGCCTCACTTCATGGCCACCACCATGACACGGCCATGCGGAGTACTGCCAATGTTCACTTAATGCTCAAGGTCTCTTAAGTCAGTTTGTTGTGAATGCTGCTTGGTCTTAAGAGTCACCCGTCAGGGTGGTGGGCTCCCCTCTGGCCCAGGTTAGGTCCAGAAATGCTGTCAAATAGCCAAGGCCTGGAATTGTGATCCCAAGAGGCTGCTTGGTGTTCTACCCCACTGTGCCCAAGCTGGTATTTGATTTTTTATTCTTATGAAAATGCTTTATTTTTTTTGTAGATAGCTGTTAAATTTGGTGTCCCTGCAAGAGGAGCAACTGGTGGAGGCTTCTATATGGCCACTTTGCTCTGCCCACAGCTAGATTCACTCTTTGATGAGGCAGGAAGGGAATAAGTTAACTCAGGATTTGCTAATTGCCTCAGTAATAGAGATTTGTTATTGACCTTTTATTGCCTATTGTGTTTGTTGTTGACAGTTTTATTTTTCTCTGTTCTTATTTTCACATGTAGGTAAAATAAATGTTTTACTTTGTTTTTCAAAACAAGCAAACCCAACCACTTTGAGGCAGTGTGAGATTTTGGAAAAAAAATTTGACCAGGATGCAGAGATATAATCTTTAGTCTTGGGTTGTATGTTCTTACAAAACCCTCATCCATTATCTGAGAAATTTAGACTAGAATACTTCTAATGTCTCCTCCAGCTCTGTCACTGTGAAGCTAGTCCAATGACTCTTTTATTTTTTTCCCTTCTTCATTTTACTTACAATTTTCTGATTATTTTGATCTGTCAGCCCATGGTTCTGGGCACGGAAAAAAACAGATGCACTGCCTTGGATAGGATGGATAAAGTGGAGTGTCTTTAGGTGGCTCTAGTAAAATAAAAATAAATAATAGAATTGAAGTACAAAGAGTAACATATTTATAGTCATTATCATTCATGGGGTACAGAAATGTATGACTTGAAGTTTAGGAGGTGGCAAGAAAAATTCTAGAGCTTGAACACAAATATGAGCATGAACACAAGGTGTTACCAGGCTGGATAGACAATTTAGGATGGGCCTAGTTTGGCAGTTTTGGTGAATGTGGTAAGGGTAAAAATGGGAAAGCATAGAGGTGAAATATCTATGGGCTATCTATGGTGAGAAATGGTTAGCTACTTAGAAAACTTCCTCAACAGAAAAGTAATAATGAACTGATCTTCTGTGTGCAAGGTATGTGACATTCATCGTGCCAATTTGATCCTCAGAATAATCCTGTTAAATTGTTGTTATTAGGCTTATTTTACAAAAGGACAAAATAAAGGATGAGAAAAGTTAAGTAAAATACCCATGTTCATGCAGCTAGTATGTGGTAAGCTGAGATTCAAATTCAGGTCTGTCTGAATCCAAAACCCATCTTCTTAATCTCTTTCTAAACTGCAACTCTGCATTAATAGGTATGAAATAAAGATAGAAGAAGTAGAGTTATATGCAGAATCAGAATAGAATAAGTTCAGAGTATGGACTCTGGAGTCAGACTACCTGAAGTGGAATTCCTGATGCAAGCAGGCAAGTCATTCAAACTCTTTGACCCTCGGTTTCTTCATTCATGAAATGGTGAAGTTAATATCAATTTCAAGAGGTTATAGTGAGAATTAAATGGGTTAGTCTATGCAAATTTGGGGGCACAATAAATATAAAACAATAAATCATAATAATAAATATTAACTAATAAAAGAACCAGATCCCAGGAAACATTTCCATTTTAAGTGACTAAAAATGTAATGGGACCCAGGAGAATATTTTTCCACTTAACAATTGTGATTTGAGTCAATTCTTATATAAAGTTGTGGGTGTCAATTATCAACGAGTGCTTCATTTTAAGAAGCCTTTTTATCTGAACCTTCTTAAGCATTAACAATGTGGTTCTTGTTTTTTATTACAATAGACAGAACCAATCAAAATCTGTGTGCCTTTTGTCTTATTGATCATATTAAATGATAAATTCAGTCAAGCGACTGGCCTGATAATTAGAAAAGAAAACAGTTGAACTGCTAACCTACAAATAAGCACTAGGTTCATTTTAAAAATCAGAAAAAAAAATCTTCAATAGACCAACTCTGTTAACATTTTCACTTGTCATCCAGACAGCTTTTCACCATGAAGACTTATCCTCCAAAATATTTTCATTTACTGTAATTTACTTTCTATTAACTTTAGAAAGGACTAATTGCAATATATCCCGGAAAGGAAAGAAAGCAGGCACTTTAATTCTACTGAAATTGAGATTCTACGGGTTTGATATCTTCTGAGCTCTTCAGAGAGCTCTCAAAGATTCCTGAGCATCAGAGAATTCCCCTTTTCATGTGAAAACAAACTTCTGCCTCTAAACTGAGTGTGCTGAACCTCCCAGATTTTTCCAGCATTGGCTTGTGATCTGAGTTACATGCTCAGTGAGACAAGACAGGACTTTAACAGGAAATCTTTAAAGTCTGAGTGTGTTTACCTTTCATTTTGGTGCCTTTGATGCTTGACTTATATTCAATTGACCAAGGGTTTACTGACCTCATTAATCTACCTTCTTCTCAGAACTGATTCCTCATAGAAACTAAGATCTGTATGTTCTCATTTTTTTTGTTTGAGTGGTCAAGAAGTTCCACAGGTGTGAAGCTGAATGTTTATTTCCATTTCACACCTTTCTAGACATTTATTAATTAAAAGCAGTAGTTGCTAACTAGGGACAATTTGAGTCAACCCCAGTGTTTAGGAGGGATTCCATGGAAGAAAAGTAACACTCGATTTCTTCTAGTCAGGTAGACAGGCCTGTCTTATTCTACCTTCTGATTTCTGCTGCTTCTCCTCATAATCCACTTTAGATCTAGACAGTACAGAGATACAGGAAGTATTACAGCTAAATGCATTCCTCCTCCTCTACTGTGTATTTTCTAACCTAAATTGCAGGCAAAGAGAATCAAGAACGTTGTTTTATCTATTATCCTTCTACTTTTCACTGCATTTCTTAAACAGCAATCATTAGGTCATTCTCAGAGTCATTAGAGTAGATTAAATTTTTACTCCTCACAGGGTCAGCACTGTCATGGGGTCTGAGAAGAAAGAAAATCTTGATCCTGTTTCTTATAACCAAATTGGGAAAAATGAGACAGACACATAGACTTATATAAATCAGGCAGTAAATCATTAAAACATTAATTAAGTATTGACCACAGTAAGTAGAGTAGATTGGAATGAAGTGAAGGGAGAGCTCAATTTAGAATAGTTAGAGAAGTGATATTGTAGGGCTGTGTTCCCATTCAAATCACATCTTGAATTATAATTCCCATAATCCCCATGTGTTGTGTGAGAGACCTGGTAGGAGGTAATTGAATCATGGGGCAGTTACCTCCATGCTGTTATTGTAATAGTGAGTGAGTTCTCATGAGAGCTGATGGCTTTCTAAGGGGATTTCCCCCTTTTGCTTAGCACTTCTGCTTGCTGCCACCATGTAAAGAAAGATGTGTTTGCCTCCCCTTTTGTCATAATTGTGTTTCCTGAGGCCTCCCCAGCCATGCTGAACTGTGAGTCAATTAAATATCTTTCCTTTATAAATTATCCAGTCCTATTAGCAGTGTGAGAATAGACTTATATAGTAAGTTGGTACTGCAGAGAATGAGGTGTTGCTGTACAGATACCCCAAAAATAGGGAATCAACTTTGAAACTGGGTAACAGGCAGAGATTGTAACAGTTTGGAGGGCTTAAAGAAAGAGAGGAAAATATGGGAAAGTTTGGAACTTCTTAGATGGCTTTGACCAAAATGCTGATAGTGATATGGATGATGAAGTCCAGGCTGAGGTCATCTCAGATGGAGATAAGAAACTTGTTGGGAACTGGAGTAGAGGTCATTCTTACTATCCAAAGAGACTGGTGGCATTTTGCTCCTGCCCTAGAGATCTGTGGAACTTTGAACTTGAGAGAGATAATTTAGGGTATCTGGTGGAAGAAATTTCTAAGCAGCAAAGCATTCAAGAGGAAGCAGAGTAAAAATGTTTGGAAAATTTGCAGACAGATGATGTGACCCTCCCCTGGCAAAAACAAAACAAAACAAAACAAATTTTCTGGGGAGAAGTTCAAGCCCACTGCAGATATTTGCATAAGCAACGAGGAGGTGAATGTGAATCACCAAGACAGTAGAGAAAATGTCTCTAGGGCATGTCAGACACCTTTGTGGCAGCCCCTCCCATCACAGACCCAGAGGTCCAGGAGGAAAAAATGGTTCCATGGACCAGGCCCAGGCCCCCCGGCCTGCTGTGTGCAGCCTAGGGACTCCATCCTGCATCCTAGCCACTCAAGCCATGGCTAAAAGGGGCAAAGGTACAGCTTGGGCTGTGGCTTCAGAGGGTGCAAGCCTCAAGCCTTGGCAGCTTTTAAGTGGTGTTGAGCCTGCAGCTGCACAGAAGTCAAGAATTGAGGTCTGGAAACCTCCACCTAGATTTCAGAGTATATATGGAAATGCCTGGATGTCCAGGCAGAAATTTACTGCAGGGGCAGACCCCTCATGGAGAACCTCTGCTAGGGCAGTGCAGAAGGGAAATGTGGGGTTGGAACCCTCACACAAAGTCCCCACTGGGGCACTGCCTAGTAAAGCTGTGAGAAGAAGACCACCATCCTCCAAACAACAGAATGGTAGATCCACCAACAGCTTGCACTATGCACCTGGAAAAGCTGCAGACACTCAACACCAGCCCATGAAAACAGAGGAGAGGGTGGCTATACACTGCAAAGCCACAGGGATGAAGCTGCCCAAGGCTGTGGGAGCCCACCTCTTGCAACAGTGTGACCTGGATGTGAGAGATAAAATAAAAGGAGATCTTTTTGGAACTTTAAGGTTTAATGACTGCCCTTTTGGATTTCTGACTTGCATGGGGCCTGTAGCTCTTTCTTTTTTTTAAATTTTATTATTATTATACTTTAAGTTTTAGGGGACATGTGCACAATGTGCAGGTTAGTTACATATGTATACATGTGCCATGCTGGTGTGCTGCACCCATTAACTCGTCATTTAGCATTAGGTATATCTCCTAAAGCTCTCTCTCCCCCCTCCCCCTACCCAACAACAGTCCCCAGAGTGTGATGTTCCCCTTCCTGTGTCCATGTGTCCTCATTGTTCAATTCCCACCTATGAGTGAGAATATGCAGAGTTTGGTTTTTGTTCCAGTTGCAATAGTTTACTGAGAATGATGATTTCCAGTTTCATCCACGTCCCTACAAAAGACATGAACTCATCATTTTTCATGGCTGCATAGTATTCCGTGGTGTATATGTGCCACATTTTCTTAATCCAGTCTATCATTGTTGGACATATGGGTTGGTTCCAAGTCTTTGCTATTGTGAATAGTGCCGCAATAAACATACATGTGCATGTGTCTTTAGAGCAGCATGATTTATAGTCCTTTGGGTATATACCCAGTAATGGGATGGCTGGGTCAAATGGTATTTCTAGTTCTAGATCCCTGAGGAATCGCCACACTGACTTCCACAAGGGTTGAACTAGTTTACAGTCCCACCAACAGTATAAAAGTGTTCCTATTTCTCCACATCCTCTCCAGCACCTGTTGTTTCCTGACTTTTTAATGATCGCCATTCTAACTGGTGTGAGATGGTATCTCACTGTGGTTTTGATTTGCATTTCTCTGATGGCCAGTGATGGTGAGCATTTTTTCATGTGTTTTTTGGCTGCATAAATGTCTTCTTTTGAGAAGTGTCTGTTCATATCCTTTGCCCACTTTTTGATGGGGTTGTTTGCTTTTTTCTTGTAAATTTGTTTGAGTTCATTGTAGATTCTGGATATTAGCCCTTTGTCAGATGAGTAGGTTCTGAAAATTTTCTCCCATTTTGTAGGTTGCCTGTTCAGTCTGATGGTAGTTTCTTTTGCCATGCAGAAGCTCTTTAGTTGAATTAGATCCCATTTGTCAATTTTGGCTTTTGTTGCCATTGCTTTTGGTGTTTTAGACATGAAGTCCTTGCCCATGCCTATGTCCTGAATGGTAATGCCTAGGTTTTCGTCTAGGGTTTTTATGGTTTTAGGTCTAATGTTTATATCTTTAATCCATCTTGAATTAATTTTTGTATAAGGTGTAAGGAAGGGATCCAGTTTCAGCTTTCTACATATGGCTAGCCAGTTTTCCCAGCACCATTTATTAAATAGGGAATCCTTTGCCCATTGCTTGTTTTTGTCAGGTTTGTCAAAGATCAGATAGTTGTAGATATGTGGCATTATTTCTGAGGGCTCTGTTCTGTTCCATTGATCTATATCACTGTTTTGGTACCAGTACCATGATGTTTTGTTTACTGTAGCCTTGTAGTGTAGTTTGAAGTCAGGTAGCATGATGCCTCCAGTTTTGTTCTTTTGGCTTAGGATTGACTTGGCGATGCGGGCTCTTTTTTGGTTCCATATGAACTTTAAAGTAGTTTTTTCCAATTCTGTGAAGAAAGTCATTGGTAGCTTGATGGGGATGGCATTGAATCTATAAATTCCCTTGGGCAGTATGACCATTTTCACGATATTGATTCTTCCTACCCATGAGCATGGAATGTTCTTCCATTTGTTTGTAACCTCTTTTATTTCATCGAGCAGTGGTTTGCAGTTCTCCTTGAAGAGGTCCTTCACATCCCTCGTAAGTTGGATTCCTAGGTATTTTATTCTCTTTGAAGCAATTGTGAATGGGATTTCCCTCATGATTTGGCTCTCTGTTTGTCTGTTATTGGTGTATAAGAATGTTTGTGATTTTTGTACATTGATTTTGTATCCTGAGACTTTGCTGAAGTTGCTTATCAGCTTAAGGAGATTTTGGGCTGAGAAGATGGGGTTTTCTACATATACAATCATGTCATCTGCAAACAGGGACAATTTGACTTCCTCTTTTCCTAATTGAATACCCTTCATTTCCTTCTCCTGCCTAATTGCCCTGGCCAGAACTTCCAACACTATGTTGAATAGGAGTGGTGAGAGAGGGCATCCCTGTCTTGTGCCAGTTTTCAAAGGGTATACTTCCAGTTTTTGCCCATTCAGTATGATATTGGCTGTGGGTTTGTCATAGATAGCTCTTATTATTTTGAGATATGTCCCATCAATACTTAATTGATTGAGAGTTTTTAGCATGAAGGGTTGTTGAATTTTGTCAAAGGCCTTTCTCCATCTATTGAGATAATCATGTGGTTTTTGTCTTTGGTTCTGTTTATATGCTGGATTACATTTATTGATTTGTGTATACTGAACCAGCCTTGCATCACAGGGATGAAGTCCACTTGATCATGGTGGATAAGCTTTTTGATGTGCTGCTGGATTCGGTTTGCCAGTATTTTATTGAGGATTTTTGCATCAATGTTCATCAAGGACATTGGTCTAAAATTCTCTTTTTTTGTTGTGTCTCTGCCCGGCTTTGGTATCAGGATGATGCTGGCCTCATAAAATGAGTTAGGGAGGAGTCCTTCTTTTTCTATTGATTGGAATAGTTTCAGAAGTAATGTTACCAGTTCCTCCTTGTACTTCTGATAGAATTTGTCTGCAAATCCATCTGGACCTGGACTCTTTTTGGTTGGTAAGCTATTGATTATTGCCACAATTTCAGATCCTGTTATTGGTCTATTCAGAGATTCAACTTCTTCCTGGTTTAGTCTTGGGAGGGTGTATGTGTCAAGGAATTCATCCATTTCTTCTAGATTTTCAAGACCCAACAGTGTGCTGTATTCAGGAAACCCATCTCACGTGCAGAGACACACATAGGCTCAAAATAAAATGATGGAGGAAGATCTACCAAGCAAATGGAAAACAAAAAAAACAACTAGGGTTGCAATCCTAGTCTCAGATAAAACAGACTTTAAACCAACAAAGATCAAAAGAGACAAAGAAGGCCATTACATAATGGTAAAGGGATCAATTCAACAAGAAGAGCTAACTATCCTAAATATATATGCACCCAATACAGGAGCATCCAGATTCATAAAGCAAGTCCTGAGTAACCTACAAAAAGACTTAGACTGCCACACAATAATAATGGGAGACTTTAACACCCCACTGTCAACATTAGACAGATCAACGAGACAGAAAGTTAACAAGGATACCCAGGAACTGAACTCAGCTCTGCACCAAGCAGACCTAATAGACATCTACATATCTCTCCTCCCCAAATCAACAGAATATACATTTTTTTCAGCACCACACCACACCTATTCCAAAATTGACCACATACTTGGAAGTAAAGCTCTCCTCAGCAAATGTAAAAGATCAGAAATTATAACCAACTGTCTCTCAGACCACAGTGCAATCAAACTAGAACTCAGGATTAAGAATCTCACTCAAAACCACTCAACTACATGGAAACTGAACAACCTGCTCCTGAATGACTACTGGGTACATAACAAAATGAAGGCAGAAATAAAGATGTTCTTTGAAACCAATAAGAACAAAGACACAACATACCAGAATCTCTGGGACACATTCAAAGCAGTGTGTAGAAGGAAATTTATAGCACTAAATGCCCACAAGAGAAAGCAGGAAAGATCCCAAATTGACACCCTAACATCACAATTAAAAGAACTAGAAAAGCAAGAGCAAACACATTCAAAAGCTAGCAGAAGGCAAGAAATAACTAAAATCAGAGCAGAATTGAAGGAAATAGGACACAAAAATCCCTTCAAAAAATTAATGAATCCAGGAGCTGGTTTTTTGAAAGGGTCATCAAAATTGATAGACCGCTAGCAAGACTAATAAAGAAGAAAAGAGAGAAGAATCAAATAGACGCAATAAAAAATGATAAAGGGAATATCACCACCGATCCCACAGAAATACAAACTACAATCAGAAAATACTACAAACACCTCTATGCTAATAAACTAGAAAGCTCTTTCATTTTGTCCAATTTCTCACATTTTTGAACAGGTGTATTTTCCCAGTGCCTGTGCCCCCATTGTATCTAGGAAGTATCTAAGTTGCTTTTGATTTTGCAGGCTCATAGGTGGAAGGGACTTGCCTTGTGTCAGATGAGACTTTGGCCTTGGACTTTTGAGTTAATGCTGAAAAGAATTAAGACTTTGGGGGATTGTTGGAAGAACATGATTGTGTTTCAAAATGTGAGGACATGAGATTTGGGAGGGAATAGGGGCAGAATTATATGGTTTGGCTGTGTCCCCACTCAAATCTCATCTTGAATTGTAGTTCCCATAATCCCCACGTGTTGTGGGAGAGACCTGGTGGGCAGTAAGTGAATCATGGGGTCAGTTACCTTCATGCTGTTCTCATCATAGTGAATGAGTTCTCATGAGATCTGGTTGTTTTATAATGGGCTTTTCCCTATTTTGCTCACCACTTCTGCTTGCTGCCACCATGTTAAGAAAGATGTTTGTTTTTTTCTTCCACTATGATTGTAAATTTCTGAGGTCTCCCCAGCCATGCTAAACTGCGAGTCAATTAAACCTCTTTCCTTTATAAATTACCCATTCTTGGGTATGTCTTTATTAGCATCATGAGAATGGAGTAATACAAAAAGGCTTAAAGGTGTAAGGTAATGATATCTTAAGTATGGGTAGAAGTTGGATAGATAAGTGATGATGAAATTAGGCAGCGATAGGGAAAGGTTCATAACATGAGCAAAAACATGAAGGTATACAAACAGATGTGTATAAGACTAGACTATGAGGAGAACACCCTAGAAGGAGAAAAAGTACTGCGGTGACAATCTTACTTAAATTACAATGAGACATTCTACATTGGATAAAATGAGATGAATAGAAATGTCTATAAAGCTTGTTAAAATACATACTGCTGAACCCCACTCCCAGAGTTTCAATTTAGTTGGTCTGTGTGGGGCCAGAAAATTTGCATTTTCAATTACCAAGAGACTCTGATGCTGCTGATGAGGTGGGTGCCACGTATTGAGAATAACTGATCTAATTCAGAGAACCTTGAAACAAATACAATATCTTGTCATTGTTTTTTAACCACAATGAAAATCTAAAAGATTAAAGAATGCCGCCTATGGGACTGTCAAATCTATCAATATCCAAACATATTTTTGTAGCTGCTATTTCTTCAAATTAGACTTGCCAGTTTTAGGTAGAAAATGTGCAAGTGTATGCTTGGTGGTGGTGGTGAAATAACATGACTTAGCAGGTCAATCAGGCCTCAACCCTAAGTTTTCCAAAGTATTTTGGATAAATTAGTAAAAACATATACTTATTCTCCTTTTTCTGGTAGATTTACAATGTTGGATTGATAACTGCTTTAGTGGAATTTCCTCAGCAGTGTTCAATCTTGCACTCTGTAATTTAGATTGCTGTACTTCTAGATGGGACATTACAGCTCTAGTGGAATCAATAGCACCCATAAAACTACATCATAAATATGCAGTCACTTAGTTCAAGGAAAAAACTTCTACAGGGTAGATTCTGCAAAGAAATTGGTCCAGAACCAGTGTTTCTGCTGAGCTGATCTATTAAAAGGACTCATTAAAGGGTGTCCATTCTGTATGAATGCCAACATATTTACTCTTTTGCTTGTCAAAATAAACCTTAATGATGAATCTATTCCTGAATTAAACCAAGGTAAATGTTTATTCTGGAAACTTCTTAAACATACTTGTTTTTCTAAAACTGAATCAATGAGAGGACAATGATGGGGATTCAGAAACTTTGACTCCCAGGTTTGTACTCAGTACATTAATGTTTTTCTCACCACCTTTGTTTTCTCTCTTTTTGGAAAAAATAATCTTCACATTTCCTGAGATAAATTGATAACTCAGAAATTTAGCCTTTTTGGAGTTCATGCTTGATGACCAGTCTGTGCATACGGTAAGACAAATGGAAAACAGCCTTAGGCTATACTGCCAAGCATAAGCTCTACTAAATGAGAGAATCCAGAGATAAATTACAAAGAGAGAATTCTCTGGAGCTAGACATGAATGCTTCTGTGACTTCCTTAGTCATCTGGCATTAGGACCCTCTGAAAGATAATATGAATCACCTTACTGAGCCAATAGTCACCTCGTATTTCACCTTCCATTTTCTGTATCTTGCATATATTTGTTTGGAACAAGCAATATCTTCAGTAATTTGCACTAAACTAGGCTTTCCTATTTTCTCCATCTGTTTCCTTGGTACACATCTATCCATTCATTTCTTTATTGGGTGGGTTTTTGAAGATGTAGATCAATCTAGTAGGGCATTTTTTGGGTAGGTGGCCAGAAGACCAGGGTTCAAGTACTAGTATTGCCACTAGCTGTGTGACCCTGAGAAAGAGACAGAACTGCACAATTATATGACTCAGTGGCTCCTAAAGTGTGAAATGTGTACCACTGATAGGTTTGTAAGTTGATTATACTTGGTACATGGATGAATACTTTTAATTTGAATATTAATTTGAGCATGTCTTCAACTAATATTATAAAAGCTGTCTCTAGGGTTTCCCCTGCCTGACACCAATACCCAAACATGTAGTCTAGGGTTTGGGAACTGAACTGTCCTGCACACTGCAAATGGTACCTGAGTGCACCATCTAGGGGACTGAGGACAAGACTGACCCTCCTCTCATCCCTGTCATTGGTGCCTGTGCACATCATCTGGGAGTCTGGGGATTGACCAACTTCACCCACCAGTGCTGGTGCCCAAATACATTATCAAGAGGTCTGATGACAGACCTGCTCTGCCCACCACCACTTCTGCTTGCAGCCAGCACCCAAACACACAATCTGGGAGCCTGTGGATTGACCTGCCCTGTCTGCCCCAATTGGTGCCTGTGCATACCATCAGGGGGACTAAAGAAAGGTCTGTCTTGCCTGATGCCACCACTGCTAGTGCCCGAGGATCAGCCCACCTAATGTTCCTGTCCCCAGCAAAGCCTTACAACAGCATCCATTAAAAACCACAGTCTAAGACACTTCAGAACTTAACAACACAACTGATGCTGATTACAGCTGAAGAAATTGTACAGAGAGTACACTGCTTTACTCACCCAGAATCAGCATCAAATATATTTCTACCCAACCAACATGAAAGATACATCTATAGAAAAAAGTCTTTCCCTATGAAAGCCAATACATAAAATTGGAAGAAGTGAGTATTACTCCAGATGCACAGATACCAAACCAAGAACAAAAGAAACAAGGAAAAGCAAAGAAAGATAGTCTCTCCAAAGGAACACAGTAATTCTCTGGTAATAGACTCCAAAGAAAAGAAAATTTATAAAACGCTTGAAAAAAAGAATTAAAAACACTGGTACTAAAGAATCTCTATAAGATAGGATAGAACACAGAAATACAAAGAAATCAAAATCAGGAAACAATTCATGATTTGAATGAGAAATTTGAAAAAGAACCAAATAGAATTTCTAAAACTGAAGAATTCTATGGATGAAAAGAGAAACACACTCAAGACCTTAAACAATAAACTAGATAAACCAGAAGAATTTCTGAATTTCAAGACATGTCCTCTGAAACTACTCAGTTGGACAAGAAAAACAGAAAAATTATTAAAAGAATGTAAAAAGCCTATGTGGGTCAGGTGCAGTGGCTGACACCTGTAATCCCAGCACTTTGGGAGGCTGAGGCGGCAGGATCACATTAGCCCAGGAGTTCAAGATCAGCCTAGGCAAGATGGAGAGACCCTTATCTCTACATAAAATTAAAATGCAATAGTTGAGTGTGATTCTGGGTGCCTGTAGTCCCAGCTACTCAGGAGGCTGGGGTTGAAGGATTGCTTGAGTCAGAAATTTAAGGTGCCAGTTAGCTTTAATCCTACCAGTGCACTCCAGCTGGAGTAACAAAGTGAGACCCCATCAATAAAAAAGGTGAAATTATTTTAAAATGAAGAGCCTATGTAAAATATAGTGTCACAGAATCCTTTGTGTGTTGCTTTTCCAGCTGGAAACTTCTGTGGCCAGTGGTGCCTTTGCCCAAGTTTTGCTCAGGCTCACTGGGCTTGTTCCACCCACTCAGCCCAGCAAGTTGCAATCAGCTTGTACTACTGGCCTGGATCCCATGCCTGCCAAGGGTGAGCCAGGCATAGAGTGGCAAGTGGTGTGTGAGTGAGCATGGAGTCCTGCTACTGCACACATCCAGACATGCCAGCTGCAGTGGGGTGGGCTGCTCCAAGAGCCAGTACAGACACTCGCTTCATGAAAGGCTGTGGCTGGACCAGGCATACCACAAGTGGTTTCCACTGTGGGTGCCAAGAAATGAGGTAGAACCTGGAAGTTTGGAGATGTCAGGAACTGCGAAGACAGCCCTGACCTGGGGAACCCCTAGGTCTGGGCTCTGTGAAGGGCTTCAGCTTGTCTCTCCTTCTCATTGCCCACAATGTGGCAAGTGAGGGGTATGTTTCAGGCCTGTTTGTGTTACTGCTCTTTCAGTCATGCCATTTGGTGGGTCCTGAGTTCTTGTCCCATGTCCAGGAAGAATGAGGTAGGTGGACAACTGGAGTGTGAGCAAGGCAGAGGGGAGCTTCACTGAATGACCGAACAGCTCTCAGGAGACCCAAAGTTTCCTGATGAGTGTCCTGAAAGAGTGTCCAGTTCTCAGAAGAGAGGAGACCTATAGTGAGTAGCTCCTTTCTGCAGGCAGGTCATCCTGATGAGTCAAGGAGACCCAAAGTGAGTAGCTCTTTCCCACATCTGGTAGTCCCGACCTCTCTGTAAGTCTGGCTGAGTCTGCAGTTTGTATGGGCTTTAGAAGGGAGGAAGTGTGTGCTGGTTGGTCCATGGGTGGCCATGGGTGGGCCCGGCAAAAGCACCATAAGTTCTTAATCTGGGCCGTAGACTCCACCTGGAACAGACAGCCCATACCCTAGACTTCAGGCCATCACTGGCTTGAAGGTGGGCTTCACCAGGGACCTGTCCCTTTCCACCAAGGAGCCTGTCTGCCTAGTGCTGCCATCTACATGTCATCCACCATGCCCAGGCTGTTTGTGCTGAGGGGCACCTGCAGGCCTGCATGGAGCCACCCTCAGCCCTACTTTGTTCTCCCTCCCATGCCTGTCAGCTAGGAGAGGGCCAAGGCAGCAGGAGGTTGGTGTACCAGTACCACCCTGAGTGTGTGCACACCAAGCTGGGTTGTGACAGCACTCAGGCTTGACCACAACTTTGCTCCACCCTGGAGCAGGCACCAGGAGCAGGGAGAGGCCAGTCAGTGGGAGCAGGCACTTCTGAACCTGTGGGGGAAGGGGGACTTCCTGGGCTCCTAAGATCATAGGGATGTGTGGGTTCATAGCCATGGCTCTGCAGCTGCAGCTGTGCCTAGGAGAGCAGTGCTCCCATCCTGTCATCTCAGAAAGGGGCAGGGCTCCTGCCTGTTCCTGGCTCCCACCAGCTCTGTGGAGTGTCAGGCTGCCACTGCCATCAATGGAACACCATAAAGTGACCAAATATTTAAATTCTGGAATTCCTAGGAGAAGAGATGGACAAAGCATAAAAACCTATTTAATGAAATAATGGCTGAAAACTTGTAAATCTTGCAAGAATTATAGAAATCCAGATATAGGAGGCTCAAAGTATATTCACAAAATAGATTCAACCTAAAAAGGTCTTTTCTAAGACACGTTATAGTCAAACTGTCAAAAGTCAAAGACAAAGAGATAATTCTAAAAACAGCAAGAGAAAAGCATAAAGTTACATATGAAGGAATTCCCATTAGACTAACAGTGTATTTTTCAGCAAAAGCCTCACAGGCTAAGAAAGAAAGGTATGATATATTTAAGTTGCTGAAAGAAAAAGAAATCATTTAGCCAAGAATACTACAGCCAGCAAAACTACCCTTCAAAAATGAAGGAGAAATAAAGTTCTTGCCAGATGAGCAAAATCTGAAGGAATTCATAACCACTAAACCAACCCTACAAGAAATGCTAAGTGGAGCCCTACACCTGGAAATGAAAGGATATCTACCATCATTAAAACACATGGGAGTATAAAATCCACTGGTATGGCAAACACATAAATAAGGGAGAGAAAAAACTCAAATGTTACCATTACGGAACACCACCAAACTACAATGATTAAAAACAAAAGAAAGAGAAACAACTGAAGGACACGTAAACAAATAGAAATTAGTAAAATGGCAGGAATAAGCCCTCACATATCAATAATAACATTGAATGTAAATATATTACACTCTACACTTAAAAGATATAGACTGGCTGAATGAATAAAAAAGTCATAACGCAACTATATGCTACCTAAAATAAACTCATCTCACCTCTAAAGACACATAAAGAATAAAAATAAAGGGATGAAAAGAAGATATTTCATGCAAATGAAAACCAAAAGTGAGTAGGAGTAGCTATACTTAGATAAAACGGATGTTAAGTCAAAAACAGTAAAAAGAGAAAAATAGGTCATTATGTAGAGTGATCAATTCAGCAAGAGAATATAAGAATTTGAAATAAATATGTATTCAAAACTGGTGCACCTAGATATATAAAGCAAATATTATTACCTAAAAAGGAAGATATAGATTACAATACAATAATAGTTAGAGATTTTAGCCCCCCACTCTTACCATTGGACAGATCATCTAGACCAAAAACCATCAAAGAAACCTTGAATTTAAACTTCATTTTAAACCAAAAGGACCTAACAGGCATTTATCCAAAACTTTCATCCAAAAGCTGAGACATGCACATTCTTCTCCTCAGTACATGGAACATTCTTCAGGACAGATTATATATTAGAACACAAAACAAGTCTCAAAATTTTTTTAAAAAATTAAAATTATATTCAGTATATTCTCAAGCCACAACGGAGTAAAACTAAAAATTAATAAGCAAAGGAACTTTGGAAACTGCATAACAAAAAAAACTTAAACAGCATACTCCTGAATGTCCACTGAGTTAATGAAAAAATTAAGAAGGAAATAAAAAACTTAAATGAAACAAATGAAAACGGAAACATAACATACTAAAACCTGTGAAATACAGCAAAAGCATTGCTAAGACGGAAGTTTATAGGACTGAACACTTACATCAAAAAAGTAGAAATATTTTAAATAAAAAACCTGCTGATGCGCTTAAAGGACCTACAAAATTAATAACAAACCAAACTCAAAACTAGTATAAGGGAAGAAATAATAAACATCAGAGTAGAATTAAAATACAGACTTAAAAACAATACAAAGGATCATAAAAACAAAATGGTGGTTGTTTGAAAATATAAACAAAATAGACAAATCCTTAGCTAGACTAAGAAAAACAGCCACATATAAATAAAATCAGAGATAAAAAGGGAACATTAAACTGATGTCACAGAAATACAAAGAATCATTAGAGATCATGAACAACAATATGCCAACAAATTGGAAAATCTAGCAGAAATTAATAAATCACTGGGCACATATAAGCTACCATGATTGAATCAGAAAGGGAATTAAGAAACTGTTCAGACCAATAATGAGGAATAAGATTGAATCAATAATAAAAATCTCCCAACAAGAAAAGACCAGGAGTAAATGGATTGACATATGAATTCCACCAAACTTACAAAGAAGAATTAACACAAATTCTTCTTAAGGTATTCCAAAACATTAAAGAGACAGGAATTCTTTCTAACTCATTCTGCAAGAATTACCCTACTACCAAAACCAGAAAGGACAAAACAAAAAAAGAAAAGCATAGGCCAACATCCTTCATAAATATAGACTCAAAAATCCTCAATAAAATATTAGCAAAATGAATCTAACAACACATCAAAAAGGTAATACACCATAATCAAGTGGGATTAATTTCAGGAATCTAAACATGTTTCAACATATGCAAATCAATAAATGTGGTACATCATATAAACAGAATTAAGGACAAAAGCCATATAATTATCTCAATAGATGCAGGAAAAGCATTTGCTAAAATCTGATATCCCTTCATAATAAAAAACTTTCAACAAATTAAGCATAGATGGAACATTCCTAACCATAACAGAGGCCACATATGAGAAACCCACAGCCTATATCATATTGGATGGGGAAAAGCTGAAATATTTTCCTGTAATAACTGGAACAAGGATGCCCACTTTCACCACTCTTATTTAACATAGCACTGAAACTCCTAGCCAGAGAAATCACGCAAGAGAAAGAAATGAAAGGCATCCAAATTGGAAGAGAGGAATTGAAATTATCCTTCTTTTCGGACAACATAATAATATATAATATAATAATATATTTAAAGAATAAGATGAAAGACTTCTACAACTAAAACTACTAAACATTGATGAAAGAAATTGAAGAAGACACAAACAAATGGAAAAATAACCCGTGTTCATGGATCAAAAGAATTAATTTTGTGAAAATGTCCACATTACTCAAAGCCATCTATAGATTAAATGTCATCCATATCAAAATACCAGTGATATTCTTTTCAGAAATACAATGTGTAATGACAATTTTAATTAAAAATAGAGCTACCATAAGATCTAGCAATCCCATTACTGGGTATTTATCCAAAGGAAGAGAAATCAGTATATCAAAGTGATACCTGCAACCTCATGTTTATTGCAGCACTATTCATAATAGTCAAGATATGGAACTGACTTAAGTCCATCAACAGAAGAATGAATAAAGAAAATATAGTGTATATACACAACGGAATATGGTTCAGCCATAAAAAAGAATGAAATTCTGTCATTTGCAGCAAACTGGAGGACATTATGTTAAGTGAAATAGTCCAGGCACAGACAGGCAAATATCACATGTTCTTACTCATATGTGGAAGCTAAAAAAAGTTGATCTCATGGAAGTAGAGAGTAGAATAGTGGTTAATAGAGACTGAGAAGGGTGGGTGGGAGAATGAAGAGAGGTTAACAGGTGCAAACATATAGTTAGATAGAAGGAAAAACTTCTAGTGTTCAATAGCACCGGAAGGTGACTATAGTTAAGGAGAATTGACTGTATATGGCAAAATAGCTAGAAAAGAGTTAAAATGCTCCCAACACAAATAAATGATACATTTTTGAGGTGATGGATATCCTAAATACCCCAATATTGTCATTACACATTGTATGCATGTATCAAAATAACACACATGCCCAATAAAATGTACAATTATTATTTATCAAAAAAAAGGTTCGTACAAGAATACTTATTCATAGTAGCTATCTTTTTGAGCAAGGGCCATCTGTTGCCAATTATCACCAAGAGTAGAAGTCTGAACACTTTATAAAAAAACTATCACTAAAACAATGCTTCTGAATTCACAGATACAGTTGCTTAGAACAGGCTGGCCTAGGTATTGAAGTAAAAATGTATATTGACTTAAAGTAAAACATAAAGTAAGCAATCATAGCGATGGTATGCGACATGAGAAAATTGTGAAAGTGGCCATGGAATAGCTGAATTTTGAGAAATATTTCTAAACCTAGAAGGAAACTTAGAATCTAGTTAATTATTCACTTATCCACTCAACACCTATTTACTGAGCCGATGCTTTGTATCAGGCATTGTGTTAGGCACAAGCGCCAGAGGTTAGGTGTGCAAATAGAAACACAATTCATCTTGACACTCACAACCCTCACTTTAGTACATCAAGGATATGTGAACAAATATTTATAATAAAACACAGGAAATTCTACAAAAGCGCGTTGAACAAATTGTCTCGGAGAAACTAAAAGGAAGACTAACACTTGTGGGAACTGGGAAAACTTCATAGTGTAATTGCTGCTTGAGTTGAGTCTTGAAAAATGAATGATTTTAAATAGTCAAAGAGGGAGGCAGAAGGAGTAGTATGAGTGGGTGAAAAGTTGCACCCTTTGGAAAAGTATGTGTTTTTTGTGGATAATAACCTGAAGTTTGGGGTTGTTGGAACATATAATATTGGAGTGGTGGAGAGGAGCAGAGGTGAGGCTGAAAGGGAGGCAGGGACCAGGTTGGGAAGGGACTTTGGTGCCATGTCAGTGAGATGCAGACCATGGTGAGAAGGCCAAGGATAATTAAAGAATTTACTTAGAGATATACCATGATTAAATTTACATATTTAAAACTTATTCTAGCATAGAGATTGAATTACATTAGGGCAAGACTGGAAGCAAGGAAACTTGTCAGAAGGCTGGTTCAGGTAAGAAATAAGTTCAGATAAGAAATAATGGTGGCATAGGCCAGGCGCAGTGGCTCACGTCTGTAATCCCAGCACTTGGGAGACTGAAGCGGGTGGATCACCTGAGGTTAGAAGTTCGCGACCAGCCTGGCCAACATAGTGAAACTCCGTCTCTACTAAAAATACAAAAAATGAGCCGGGCATGGTGGCGCACGCCTGTAATCCCAGCTACTCAGGAGGCTGAGGCAGGAGAATTGCTTGAACCCGGGAGGTGGAGGTTGCAGTGAGCGGAGGTTGCAGTGAGCAGAGATCGCACCATTGCACTCCAGCCTGGGCAACAAGAGCAAAACTCTGTCTCAAAAAAAAAAAATGGTGGCAAGGGGATATACTTTTATTTCTTATCAAACTGGAGTAATAGGAATTGAATTTACCCATGCATTTTAAACTACCAAAAATTACAAATAAAGGGTATCTATAAAAAATCAACAGGGTTAGATAGAATAAATTAGATCTAGTATTTGATAGCACAACAGGATGACTATAGTCAACAATAATTTACTGTACATTTAAAAATAACTAAAAGTGTATAATTGGAATATTTGCAACATAAAGAAAGATAAATACTTGAGGTGATGGATAACCCACTTACCCTGATGTGATTATTATCCACTATATGCCTGTATCAAAATATCACATGTACTCCATGAATATATATACCTACTATGTACCCATAAAGATTAAAAGTACTCAATAGCTGATATAACAGTTAATGGAGAAAGATTAAGTGCTTTCTACTTGAGATCAGAAAGAAGACAAGGATGTACATTCTCCCCACTTCTCTTCTATTCAACCTTCAAATGGAGGTTCTAGCCAATTAAATAAGGCAAGATAAAAAAATAAAAGACACATTAAAAAGAAGGAAGGAAAACTATCTTTATTCACAGAGGCATGCCAATATATGTAGAGAGTGCAGTCATGCAAAGGAAAGTGCAAGAAAACAACTGGAATTATTTCATAAACTTATCAAGATTACAGGATATAAGATCAATATATAGAAATCAATTGTATTTCCATATGCTAGCAATGAACTATAAGAAATGGTAATAAAAAGAAAATTTACAATAGCTTTGAAAATATTAAATAGTTAGGGATAAGCCAGGTGTGGTGGCTCACGCCTGTAATTCCTGCACTTTGGGAGGCCTAGGCGGGCAGATCACGAGGTCAGGAGATCGAGACCATCCCGGCTAACATGGTGAAACCCTGTCTCTACTAAAAAAAAAAAAAAAAATAGCCGGGCATGGGGGCGGGCGCTTGTAGTCCCAGCTACTCAGGAGGCTGAGACAGGAGAATGGTGTGAACCCGGGAGGCAGAGCTTGCAGTGAGCCAAGTTCGTGCCACTGAAGTCCAGCCTGGGAGACAGAGCGAGACTCCATCTCAAAAAAAAAAAAAAAAGAAAAGAAAAAAGAAACTTAAGGATAAATCTGACAAAAGGGTTGAATACTGAAAAACTTGAAAAATGTGTGAATTAGAACATAGCAGGATGTTAAAAAAAGAATTACATATTGAAAATTTCAAAAAGTTTCTAAGAGAAATAAAAGATCTAAAAAATAGAGAGCTATAATCTGCTGATAGGTTAGAAGATACAATATTATTAACGTGCCAATTCTCTCCACATTGACTTATATATTTAAAGTAATTCAGATAAAAATTCCAGCAGGGTTTTTTTTTTTTCGTAAAAATGTATGAGCTGATTATAAATTTGATGTGGAAATGTAAAGGACATAGGAATAGGCAAAACAAATCTGAATATAAAAAACAAAGCTAGAGAATTAACGCTATCTGATTTCAAGATTTATTATAAAGCTACAGCAATCAAAACAGTGATATTGATATAAAGTAGACCAAAGGAACAGAATAGAGAATCCGGAAGTGGTCCCACACATATATGAACAATAGATTTTCTACAAATGTGAAAAGACAACTTAGTAGAGAAAGATTGCCTTTTCAACAAACAGCACTGAAACAACTGAATATCAAAACCTGCAAAAAAGAACTTTTATCCATACATTGCATTATGTACAAAAATTACCTCAAAATGGGTCATAGAGCTAAATATAAAAACTAAAACTGTAAAAATTTCCAGAAGGAAATATAAAAGAATATCGTTGTGACTTAGGTTTAGAAAAAATGTTTCTACATGGTCACATGCATGGTGAAAAGCTAGATCTATGAAAAATAAATTGATAAATTGGATTGTATCAAAGTTAAAAACTTTGGTTTTCCCAAAGGTGCTGTTAAGAGAATGAGAATACAAGCCAAAGGTTGGAATAGAAAATTTGCAAAATAAATAGTTGGTAAAGGAATTAAATATACAATTTCTAAATAATTCTCAAATCTCAATAATTAGGAAACAAACTGGAATTAAAAACAAGAGGAAAATATTTGAACAGACACATCATCAAATAAGAAACATAAATGGCAAATAAATAAGGAAATAATGTTTGATGTAACTAGTCGTTAGAGAAATGCAAGTTACAGATAGAATAAGAACACTGCACATTTACTGGAGTGGATAAAATTTAAAAGACTGACCATACTAAGTGTTGAAAAACATATGGCAAAAGTGACATTTTCATACACTCATGGTGGGAGTGTAAAATGGTACTTTGCAAAATACTCTAGAAAATAATTTGTTAGTTTCTTAGAAAGTTAAAGATACCCACCATATATCAAGTCATTCCATTCCTTTGTATTTACCCAATAAATGAAAGCATATGTTGATAAAATACTGTACCTGAATGCTCATAGCATCTTTATTTTTAATAATCCCAACTGGAAACAACCCAAGAGTCCATCAGCATGTGAATGGATAACCAAATTGTGGTATGTCTATACAATGGAATACTACTAAGCAATAAAACAGAATGAATTATTTATATCCTAAAAACATACTTGAATTTCTAAATAATTTTTCTGTGAAAGAAACTAGAAAAAAGCATACATAGTTATATGAGTCCATTTGTATAAAAGCCTAGGAAATGCAAACTAAAAGTATTAATTTTCTAGGGCTGCCATAATGAAGTACCATAAAATGACTGGCTTAAACAACAGAAATTTATTGTCTCACAGTTCTGGAGGTTAGTAATATGAGATTAAGGTGTGGGCAGGTTGGTTCCTTCTGGGGGATGTGAGGAAGCATCGGTTGCATGTTTCTCCACTAGTTTCTGGTGGTTTGCTGGCAATCTTTGGTGTTCCTTTGTGTGTAGAAGGGTTACCCTGATCTCTGCCTTAATTGTCACATGGCATTTTCCTGTGTGTGCTTCTGTGTCCAAATTTCCCTTTTTGTAATGTAAGTCATAATGGATTAAGGCCCACCATAATCTTAACTTGATTATCTCTGTGAAGATCAGATTTCCAAATAGGGTCACATTCTGACGTTCTAGAATTAGGAATTTGATATATACATTTTTGGGGGGACACAGTTTAACCCATGACACTAATATATCATGACAGAAAGTAAACTAGTGGTAGGAATGTGGGCACGTGTAAAGGAGTGGGAAGAAAGTGGCATGAGAAAACTTGGGATTGGTGGACATGTTCATTATTTTTATTATGGTAATATTTCAACTGGTGTATTATATATAAAAAAGTATTCAGTTATACACTTTAAATATGTGCAATTTATTATATGTCAATTGGAGCTTAATAAAACTGTTTAAGAAAATCCCACCAGGTGCAATGGCTCATGCCTGTAGTCCCAGCACTTTGGGAGGCTGAGGTGGGCAGATTGCTTGAGCTCAGGAATCTGAGACCAGCTTGGGAAATGTGGCAAAACCCCATCTCTACAAAAAGTACAAAAATTAGCCAGGCGTCCTGGTGCGTGCCTGTAGTCCCAGCTACTTGGGAAACTGAGGTGGGAGAATCTCTTGAGCCTGAGAGGTGGAGGTGGCAGTGAACAAGCTGTGATTGCGCCATTGTACTCCAGCCAAGGTGAAAGAGAGTTACCCTGTCTCAAAAAAGAAAGAAAAAAAAGAAAGAAAGAAGGAAAGAAAGAAAGAAGGAAAGAAAGAAAGAAAGAAAGAAAGAAAGAGAGAAAGAGAGAGAGAGAGAAAGAGAGAGAGAGAGGAAGGAAGGAAGGAAAGAAGGAAGGAAGGAAAGAAGGAAGGAAGGAAGGAAGGAAATTCTACACTGTACTAAAACAAAAATCTTAGAATGAATCATTGGTTTCTGGCTTGTGTTTATTAATGGCGGTTACTGTTTCATATTAAAGAAAAGCCCAAAAGGGGATTAATTTGGAATGGAAATAAGAGCTGATGGATTCAACTTCAGACATGTTGACTTACTTGGATATTTTTGTGGAACAAACAATTGGGGATGTCCAGTAGACAGTTTAATGGGTCTGAAGTTTGGAAATGAGCTCTTGGCTGCATATAGGAGTCAGTTGTGTGTTGGTGGTATTTAAAACCATAGCATAAATTAGAACACATAGAGCAAGAGCATGGTACTAAAAAATGAGAACGAAAAGAACAACATATTTAAGGGATATGCAAGGTAAGAAGAGCCATTAAAGGAGATAAAGAAGGACTTTTCAGAATGAGATGCAGAGAACCAAAGGGAATGATATCACGGAAATCAAAGTAACAATTCCCAGGAGGAGAGTGTGATAATTTGTGTTAATTACTCTAAAGAAATTATGTGTGAGGTTGAGAATTGTACAGTAATGGATCCAAATACTAAAACTAGTAAGATAAATGTGGGCCACCATGATCCCTGCCTTCATGGATTTTGTAAGTGAGTTTAAGAATAGACAAAGCAGTCAGAAAACATTCTATAAATCCATAGAGAACTGCATTAAGTACAGGGGTTCTGACAACAAATGAGATATTTTCAAACTTTTGGATTTACAATAAATATGTAATAGTTTAATCTCTCTCTCTCCTAAAATACTCTTTGTTCTAAGAGGGTCTGTAAAAGATCATTTGCTTTTTGCTTCTGCTTCCAGATGATTTCCTAAATCTCAGAGGGATTTATTTTTAACCCATTCTATCACAGATGTGTAGTGAGCTGAACTGTTCATCAGCTCACTGTTGAAGCAAAAAAATAGAAGCAGCCTGAGGTGGGAGTCCTGGAAAGGCATAGACAGGATGTTGAAATTCAAGATGTGGAGCCAAAATGAAGCTGAAGATTGGTCAGTCTCAGCTACCAGTCTTGCAGAGAAGGAGATGACAAATTGGAGCATGGTCAAAGAGTCAAAGGTTGTGGGCAAGCCTGTGGCCCAAGTTAGCAGGGGTTTTGGAGGAAGCTCAACAAGAGAATTTGGAACAGTTACAAGTGTCTGTAGATGGAATCCTGCTGTGGTGCTGGTAGTGATAGTGGTGGTGAGGTTCCTCTGCCAACATTGAACATAAAATTTTCTAAAATTTTGCGTATGTCATTACCTTTCTCTGTCTCCACTGAAGAAAGGCTTGAGATCTGAGAAGACAGCAAGGGTGAAGACTGCCATGATAACTGAGGATTGCAGAGGTTGCTCCTTCCCATTGAATATATATTACTAAAATTCCCTATAGCCAGCAGGTAATCCTCACATCTCCACCATGATAGAAACAGAGCACAAAGCTGCCCACTGTTCATTGAGATCCTGTTTATTTGGGAAAAGGAGGGTTCCTTCTAGGAATGGGGAGTAGTGCCAAAATCAGAGTTCACCTAGATCAATAATGCCAGCTATGAGGAATGGTTCTAGGAAAGCAATTTTCATGATAAGTAGAAAAAATACAGATAGCATGAAGTTCCTGGTGTTCTGACAGTAGGAAAGAAGGTTCTACTATCCCTGCCCCTAAGTGTTTGTAATTTTTTCCCCCAAAATGTTGCTCCCTGGAGTGCATACTTAGAAAAATTTCAAAATGCTTGTGTTTTGGCTTTGGAAAAGAATCAAACCAGTTTGGCAAAGATCTATACTCAGGGAGTCACAATGATGGTGCAATGAAAATCATGTTCCTACTTGCTGAAAGCATCACTGAAATGTGCATTCTTGTAGAGCAGCCCAGGAAAAAAGGGATACTGGATGGCTTCCCCATACTCGTCCCAATTTAGGCTGTGTGCAGGCATCATGATTGCATTAGAAATATGCAAATGCTACAGCCCAAGTGTTCTACATATGTTTCCAGCACAAATCCTGAAAACAAAAAGGGAGATAAAGGAAAAGCAAGAAGTCAAATTGGAGAGTTTCAATAGTGTCTTACATGCATCCCGACTTTCCATACTTGGGAGTTGAAGGTTATGGACTCTACCAATGAGAAATTCCAGTGATAGTTTTTTAATATCCTAGAGACAAAAAACAGCCTTAACCCCAGAGGTTATGTGTTTTAAAAGATCAAAGCACTAGGTGAAGTTTGCAGAGGCCTACAAATTCATGGAGACATAGAGAAGGATAGACAAAGGAAAAGATAGTTGTGATTTAAGGGCATGCTTAGGAATGGTGGCACACAATTGGCCACAGAACGCAGCTATGCTCTATTCTGAGTCTGAGTAATACTATGGAGTATGTGCAGCTAGAATCATGCCCATAATAAGCAAAAAGATTTTGTCCATTATTCCTCACTTTCTTTTTGGCCTGCTTAGAAGAGTTCCACAGTTTAAATATATATATAAAGCTGCCTATTTCTTCCTGTTGTCTGAGAGACCACTTGTTTTAAAGGATACCTGGCCAGGCGCGGTGGCTCACGCCTGTAATCCCAGCACTTTGGGAGGCCGAGGCAGGTGGATCACGAGGTCAGGAGATCGAGACCATCCTGGCTAACACAGAGAAACCCCGTCTCTACTAAAAATACAAAAAATTAGCCAGGCGTGGTGGCAGGCGCCTGTAGTCCCAGCTACTTGGGAGGCTGAGGCAGGAGAATGGCATGAACCCAGGAGGCGGAGCTTGCAGTGAGCCGGGATCGCACCACTGCACTCCAGCCTGGGTGACAGAGTGAGACTCTGTCTCAAAAAAAAAAAAAAAAAAAAAAAAAAAGATATACTGGAGTATATTCTTACTATTTACAGACCATCAACAAGTTTCTTACACAAATTGATGTTTTTTAAACAGAAAACCTATGAGCTAATCATATAAAATAATTATAGTTTTACAAGCAGTAAGATCATTAAAGGGGTTTGTTTATAATGAACAAACTTTTTAGAATTTTTGTAATATTTTGGTGTTTTGCTGGAAAGAAACACCTTAGCAAACTTGTTTCGTGTAAAGAGGGTAAGTATTTAAATTTAGCAACATCTGACATTTTTTTTCATTCAGACATCTGCCACCTTTTAATGTTCTTGACCTTCAGCTAAAAAAGGATAAGATGGAAAAAAATGAGGACTATTTCATTCTCTGTATCCTGAGTCTGAAAGTGCATAAGAGGAGAGATAATAGTTTAATAGGCAACTATGAGCAGAAAAATAAAACATTGTGACACAGAAATGAAAGGATAATTAAAATAATTTTTATTAGAGGCCCACTATGATTGGAAATAGCATCAAAGTGCATATAAGCAAACATTTTTGTTTGCATTCACAAATCAAGTTTGCTTCTAATACTTTCTAATTGGATATTATAGGCCAAATGTAGTTATTCAAATGAAGTTTTGTGACAGAAAAATAGTAGTTTTAATGTCCATTTGATATTTTCTAAAATAAAAATGATTATTAAGTTAGAAAATAATCAAATAAATGCTATTACTTTAAAAATTCAGATAGTATGGAGGTACAGGGAAAATACAATATTATCAATAATCCAGTGTTTATCCTACCACTATTTACATTTTGGATTCTTTTAGGAATCTCTCCATGTCAAAATACATAGTCATTCTTATTATAAAATAGGATCACACTGTATCTACTATTTTATAATTTTATCTTTAACCTAACAATATCTTATATATAACTTTATTTGCCAATGAACAATTCTACATTATCCAACCAAACAAAAAGCTCATTGATAACTTTATATAGCCACAAGTTCCAGCTTCCTATTATGGTTTACACAAACCTCTGCCTAGCTCTCCTGCAACATTCAGCTTTTCAAAACAACTTAAAGGTTTTATGTCTCTGAGCCTTTGCATCTGCTAGTGCTTTTATCTGGAATGCTCTTTCCTACTCCTTTTTCACTTGGAAATCATTGGGCTTCATATGTCTTTGCATCTCCACGGCCCAGCATATAACGCCTATTGAGTGTATGTTACATGAATAAGTGAATGAATGAAATTTAATTATAAGAAAATTAGGGTAAAATTTGCAATTTCTGTGGTAAATTAGAGATCCAAGCAGGTAGCAATTTATAGACAAGGGAAGATAGAGGCCACTAAGAGCATATGCGGCTGGTCTAGAGAACCAGGTGGACATAGTTTCATTGTAGCTGTTACTCATTTGAAGGCTATAATGTACTCTAAAGTAATTTTGAAGAATTTAACATGGGAGACCTAGCCGAAGAAAATATTTCACTTAATGAGTCCATCAGCTAGATAATGAGAATGAGATTCTCAGTTTGCAATTTTTTGCTAATCTTCAGAATCAGCTTGAGTTTTCTTCCAGAGGATACCTAATTTTTAAAAAACACATCTTTTTTCTCAAAATTAGGCCTAATTGGTAATTGGTTTGATACTGCTCTATTGTTAGACTTGCAGACATTGAAAGACCAATCTTTCTTGTTAGAATTGTAAATTGGTTGGTCACGATAGGCTTAATCTGGGAAAGTAACATTAGAGGATACTTGAAGAGAAGAGAGAGTTAACCATGTATGTATTTAGGCAAAAAATATTCCAGATAAGGGTACAGTTAATGCATAGGTCCCAAGGCTAGGTCATGCCTGAATTATTCATTAAATAGTAAAAAGGCCAGTATGGCTAGAACACAAAGAACAAGGGGTTGAGTGTCAGGAAATGAGGTCAGAAAGATTGAGTAGACTATCATGCAGGGCTTTTTAGGCTGCTGTAAGGTCTTTGGAATGATTGGAGAGTAAGCTTCTGGAAGACAAGAGTCTGCTCATATGAATCCCTTATTGCCTATTCCCAGTGCCTGATACAAAAAGATATTCAATGTGTTCTTGTCTTATAAATGAATGACAGTTACCTCCTCTCAGGGAGTTCTTTTATTTCCTGGTTAGAGACAGATTAGTAAAAATATATAATGTAATATGCTTTAGGTTGTAGAGTATTATTATTATTACAGTTTTACTAGAAAAGAGACTGATGCCCAAAAGAGTTTTACTAGTCTAGTAGTCTTAAACTTTTAGAAGCAGATTTTTTCTCTTGAAACAAAATTTGTATAAAAATAAATGTACAAAATAGATCAAATGGAGATGTCTTTAAGGAAAGATGATGGAATTGACATTTCGTCTCACTTTTTTCCTCTGAGGTCATCCTAGAGAAATTGCCAAAGATTTTAGGTGGTGCTATACCATGATGTTATATCGTTTGGTATAAAGAATCACAAAGTGGTCTCTTGGCAAAGAGCTGTCATTGGGATGTGGGTTGTTCCTGAGAAGTGCGTTTGTACACCTATGTTCATTAGATGGACTGAAGACCTGGGCAAGAACAAGGAGATATGACTAAACATATTATTAGGAACAAAAGGAATTTCTATCTCTGAGTTTCCACATAGAATTTTTTGCGTGCCCAGGGCTCTCAAGTTCATCCCTTCTATGGTAGTGCCACAGACAGATT